>NC_000003.12:126281331-126432846 GCF_000001405.40 Homo sapiens
AAGCAGCTGCTCCATTTTTCATTCTCACAAGCAATCTATGAGGATTACTGCTCAACCCTGCTAACACTTATTATTGTCTGACTTTGTGATTAGAGCTATTATATAGTGGGGGTGTGAAATGGTATCTCATTGTTGTCTTGATTTGGATTTCTCTGATGTCTAATAATGTTGATCACTGTTTCATTTGCTTAATAGACATCTATATATCTTCTTTGAAAAAATGTTTATTCAGATCCTTTATTCATTTTTAATTGGGTTGTCTTTTTATTATTGAGCTGTGTTCTTTATATATTCTAGATACAAGTTTCTTATCAAATATATGATTTGCAAATATTTTCACCCATTCTGTGGGATTTTTTTTCACTTTCTTGAGAGTGTCCTTTGAGGCAGAAAGGTTTTCGATTTAGATGAAGTATAATGTATCTATTTTTCCTCTTGTTGTTCATGCTGTTGGTGTCTTATTTTAAAATCTATTGCCAAATACAAAGTCATGAAGATTTACCCTGTGTTTTCTCTTCAGAGTTTTAGGTTTGGGACTCACATTTAGGTCTTTGATCCATTTTGAGTCAATTTTTGTATATGGCAAGATGTAAGTGTTCAAGTACATTCTTTTGCATTAGGGTATTCCATTGTTTCAGCATCATTTGTTAAAGAGATTATTCCTTCCCTGTTGAATGTACCTGGCACCCTTATTAAAAATTAGTTAACCATAGACACATGGGGTTTATTTCTGGACTTTCAATTCTATTCTGTTGAATCTTACGCTGGTACCACATGGTCTTGATTACTGTAGGTTTGTAGTAAGTTTTGAAGCTAGGAAATGCAAGCCTTCCAACTTCATTCTTCTTTTTCAAAATCTTCTTGCCATTTTGGGTCACTTGAGTTTCCACATTAATTTTTAGATCCATTTGTCAAAATCTATAAAGAATCTAGGGATTGACTTGAATCTGTAGAACAATTTGGAGAGTATTGCCATCTTATACCATATGCGATCCATGAACATGGGATGTCCTTCCATTTTTAAGTTCTTCAATTTTTTTCAACCAAGCTTTGTAGTTTTCTGAGTATAAGTTTTACACATTACATTGTGATATTGTGATATACATATATAAATATATTTATATATATATATATATATATATATAGTTTTTGTCCTATTTCCTGACATACAACTCCTAAAACCCTCAGAATCTCCAGCGTGATAAGGATGTCTTTTGTATGCTAATGAGATGACTGGTGGATAGCAGCCCCTAAGTAGTTTGAAGATGTGGGGGTGATCACAGGAAAAACATGGGCATGATTAGAGGGTTGGGACTTTTCAGCCCCACCCCCAACCTCCAAAGAGGGGAGAGAAGCTGAAGGTTAAGTTGATCAACAGTGACCAACAATTTAATCAACCATGTCTATGTAATGAAGCTTCTATTAAAAATGTAGAAAGACTGGGTTCAGGGAGCTTCTAGATAGCTAAACATATGGAGGTTCCTGGAGGGTGTCATGCCTGGAGAGGGCATGAAACTGCCGCACACCTTTCCACATACCTCACTCTACATATACTTCATTTGGCTGTTCATCTGTGTTCTTTTTAATGTCCTTTATACTAAACCAGCAAATGTGGGAAAGTGCTTCCCTGAGTTCTGGTGAGCCATCCTAGCAAATTAATTGACCCCAAGGAGGGAGGTCATGGCAATCCTGGTTTGTAGTCAGGGTTCCAGGTATCTGAATTGGAGGTAGTTTTGTGGGGCTGAGCCCTCTATCTGTGGAATCTAACACTATCTCTAGGTAAACAGAGTCAGAATTTAATTGAATTAGAGAACGTCTAACTGGTGCCCACTAGAGAATCTGGCCGAAATTTGCTTGGTGGATTGGTAGGGAGAAATCCTTATATATTTGTTCACAGAAGAATTCTGTGTTGTATTGTAAGAGTACAGTGGGGGAAAATGATAATGTTTTTTCAATACCCTTACACACTTCTTTTTGTTTATTTGTAAGCATTTTATTCCTTTAGATGCTATTACAAATTGAATTGTTTTCATTATTTTATTTTCAGATTGTTCATTGCAAGCATATAGAAATACAACTAAGTTTTGTACAGTCATGCATCACTTAAACGCAGGGATACATTCTGAGAAATGTGATGTTAGGTGATTTTGTCATTGTGTGAACACCTTAGAGTGTACTTACACAAATCTGAATGATTTAGCCTACTACACATCTAAACTATATGGTACAATATAGCCTATTGCTCCTAGGCTACAAACCCATACTGCATGTTACTATACTGAAAACTGTAGGTGATTGTAACACAATGGTATTTGTGTATGTAAACATAACTAAACATAGAAAAGGGGCAGTAAAAATATATTACAACGGATAAGATATGGTACCCCTGTATAAGGCACTTACCATCAATGGAGCTACCAGGACTGGAAGTTGCTCTGGGCAAGTCAGTGAGTGAGTGGTGAGTGGATGTGAAGGCCTCGGGCACTACTGTGCACTACTGTAGACTTTATGAGCACTGTACATTCAAGTTACACTAAATTCATTTTTAAAATATTTAAAATATTTAAATATGTAAAATAAAAATATTTAAAATATTAAATATGTAAAATAAAAATATTTAAAATATTTAAATATGTAAAATAAAAATATTTAAAATATTTAAATATTTAAAATAAAAATATTTAAAATATTTAAATATTTAAAATAAAAATATTTAAAATATTTAAATATTTAAAATAAAAATATTTAAAATAAAAAAATTAAATATTTAAATATTTTAAATAAATTAAACTTACCTATCTTTTTTAATGTATAAACTTAATTTTCTTTTAACTTTTTAACTTATAATAACACAGACTAAAACACAAATACATTGTTCAGCTGTATAAAAATATTGTCTATTATTCTATAAGTATTTTTCTATTTTAAAATGATTTTATTTTCTTTTTACTATTTAAACTTTTTTGTTAAAAATGAAGAACACGCACACACATTAGCCTAAGCTAACACAGGGCCAAGATCATCAACATCACCATCTTCCACCTCCACATTCTGTCCCACTGGAAGGTGTTCAGCTTTATGACACATAGAGCTGTCATTTCCTGTGTGATGACAGTGTCTTCTTCTGGATACCTCCTGAAGGACTTGTCTGAGACTGTTTTACAGCAGCTATTTTTTTTTAAATAAGTAGAAGGAGTACATGCTAAAAACCACAATTAAAATAGAATATAGTAAATAAAGCAGTAGCATAATCGTTTATTATCATTATCAAACACTATGTTCTGTACATAACTGTGTGTGCTGGACTTTGAAATGACTGGAAGCACGGCAGGTTTGTTTTCGCCAGCATCACCATAGGCAGGTGAGTAATGCATTGTGCTACTACATTACGACAGCTACGACGTCACTAGGCAGTAGGAATTTTTCAGCTCCACTATAATCTTATGGGACCCTCATCGTATATGCGATCCATTGTTAACCAAATGTTTTTGTGTGGCACATTACTGTATATTCATTTATCTTGTATCCTGCAAACTTGCTGAACTCTTTTATTAGTTCTAATAGTTTTTTAGTGGATTTCTTAGAATTTCCTACATACAAGTTATGTGATCTGTGAATAAAGATAGCATTACTTCTTCCTTTCCAATCTGGATGCTTCTTATTTATTTTTCTTCACTTACTGCCCTGACTAGAATCACATTTATGTTTCAGTTTATTTCTAAGTTTTTGTTGCTATGAGAGATAGAATATACCCCTTTATATCTTATGATTATTTCTATTATATGGAAAATCTGTTTAATTTACTGAACATTTCTTGATTCTAATAGTTTTTATATTATTTTCTTAAATTTGAGGAGTTAAAATTATACTTGTAAAAATGGTTCTTATCTATATTATTAATATTTACAGCTTAAATAATTTTCTAGACTCATTTCATTGTCTAGGATCTCAAATACAATATGAAATAGTGACAGATGAGGCAGGAATCTTTATTTTATTCCCAAAAGGATGTGTTTCCTTTGAATAATAGTCCATTGCTACACATTATTGAGCTCTTATTATATGCTAGGAGCTTTGCATACATTAATATTAAATCCTCCTTATGACTGTGAAGTGGGTTCCATTGTGAGCCACAGTTTCAGATGAGGAAGCAAAGGTACAAAGTTTAGGTTAAGTAAGTTGCCCACAGTTACGCATCTGGGTGCAGAGCTGGGATTTGAATACAGAACTGAGTACGTCACTCTTGCATGTGACTCTGGCTTACCCCCTGTAATTCAGAGACCTGAAGCCAGGGTCCAGACATGTCTAAGAGGGCCACCAAAAGGCTTCAAGCAGCCCCATGAGCCCCTTGAAAATCTGTACAAAATTTTCAATGCATGTCCACAAATTTATTTTTGTGTGTATAACATCCAGGTTCCCCACTGGATTTTCAAAGGCATTTAATACCACTCAAGTCTTTCCCTGAAAGTATAGTGATGCCTGTTGGGTTCTGGTAAAATTCCTTTTGTTTCATTAAGGATATTTTATTCCTAACCAGCAAAAGCTTTTTATACTAAATATGGTATTACATTATGAAATACTTATTCAGAACCTTTTGAGGCGCTAATCTCTTGCTTTGCCTAATAATCTAATGACCAGCAGTAATGGATCTTGCAAGAATGATCCATGTCTACAATCCCTGGACAAGCCTTGTTTTGTTTTATTGTCCTGGTGGATTCTTCATATTCTATATGAACTCAAAAATATCTGAGTTAGGACTCAATCAATTTAGAAAAAGTTTATTTTGCCAAGGTTAAGAACACACACCTGTGACACAGCCTCAGGAGGTCTTGATGATAAGTAAACTTAAAGGGGGAGGTGGAGGCTTCCAGGTCACAGGTAGGTTTTTTTGTTTTGTTTTGTTTTGTTTTGTTTTGTTTTGTTTTTGACAGAATCTCGCACTGTCACCCGGAGTGGAGTGCAGTGGCATGATGTTGGCTCACTGCAACCTCCACCTACTGGGTTCAAGCAATTCTCCTGCCCCAGCCTCCCAAGTAGCTGGGATTACAGGCGCCCCCACATCATGCCCAGCTAATTTTTTGTATTTTTAGTAGAGATGGGGTTTCACCACGTTGGCCAGGCTAGTCTTGAACTCCTGACCTTGTGATTTGCCCGCCTCAGCCTCCCAAAGTGTTGGGATTGCAGGTGTGAGCCACCACACCCAGTCATAGGTAGTTTAAGAATTTTCTGACTGCTAATTGCTTGAAAGAGTTATTTCCAATAGAAAGGAATGTCTGGGTTACTATAAGAGGTTGTGGAGACCTAGGTTTTATGACACAGATGAAGCCTCCAAGTAGCAGCCTTCAGAGAGAATTGGTAAATATTTCTCATCAGACACTAAGGTCTATGTTGATGTTAACATTGGTCACCTTTTCCTGAATTCCAAAAGAGAGGCAGGTATAAAGAGGCATGTCCCACCACCCCTCTTCCCATCATGGCCTAAACAAGTTTTTCAGGTTAACTTTGGAATACCTTTGGCCAAGAGGAGGGTTCCATTCAGATGGTTGGGGGGAGCCTTAGAATTTAATTTTTGGTTTACATTTGCTTTGCTATGATTCTGAGACTTGCACCTAAGTGAGATTTCTTTTCCAGTGTTTTTTTTATATCTTGAGTTAATTTTAGTACTTGACATTTATTTTATTTTTTTAAGAGTCGAGGTCTCCCTATGTTGCCCAGGCTGGTCTCAAACTCCTAGGCTCAAGGGATGCTCCTGCCTCTCCCTCCCAAAGTGCTGGGATTACAGGCCATCACCCCTGGCCTGACATTTCTTTTAAAAATTATGTATTGCTTTAAGATGTTTAAGCATATTAGCTCAGCATTCTGTACTGTATTTGTCCCACTTTAAAAATTTTCCTTCTGGTCCATTTTGCACTATGCCTACGGCATGTTTTCCATAGCATTAGCCTCCCCCCACCCCCCCGGCCCCAATAGAGCCAAAACAGCTACCAGTGTCCCCTGGGAGTCAGGGATGGCCTGGGCTGGTTCAGGGGACTGTAGCTGGAGCCCCTGGCTGGCTGTGTGATTCTGCCCAGTCCCCCGCTCCCTGTCCGGGCCCTCTGTTCTCTCCTTACGGTGGGGAGAGGTCTGAATGAGGCCCCAGCTCACGCACTCCATTATCTTGAGGCTGCTCCCACCCCCAGGCCCGAGGGAGACAGAGGCCTTTTGAGCTGGGGCTGGCAGGCGAGGCTGGAGTCCCAGGGCTACCAGAGCGTTGCGGAGGGAATGCTTTGAAGAGGCCCCGCCCTTCCTGGGGCTGCGGCTCAGCTCCGGCCTCCCTCACCCGGCAGGGATTCCCGTTCTAGGGAACATGTGGTTCGTGCCAGCCAGTTGATGTGGGCGCTTTCTTCTGCCCCTACTCCCGGCTGTCCGCTTCCTCCCCAGCCCCCTCCTGTGAGCTCTGGGAGCTACAGAATAAGGACACTCCTTGGCCCCAAGCCAGCCCCAGCTTGCTCGGGAGCCTGGGTTTCCCCCTCCGTCCCCATCACCGCGAGGGTCTGTGCATGGGAATCTGCTCCAGAGGCTCCCTCAGGCGCCGCGCCGCGGGGATACGCCTTTCACCGCCCCAGCAATTGGAGCGCTGAGTCGAAGTCCTGATTCCACGATAGGCGGATGAAGCCCTAACGCTGAAATTCTTTCCTCTAGGTCTTTGGCAGCGGCTGGGGCCAAAGCCCGGGCAAGACCAACGCCTTCGGCACCCGGACTCAGGCTCCGTCCTCTCTGCCAGCGTGCGGCTACAATGACTCGACATGGCAGGTGGGCAAGCACAGCACGCCCCAACAGACATGCTTTATTTAATATGTACTAAAAATACAGCAGGCCTGTGAAACCCACAGGTGCAATTGCTTAAAATGAGGCTAAGGTAGACGTGTGAATGGTTAATAATGAGTTGATTAAAATATTCAGAAATCATCTACTGGAGACGGGCAAACTGCAAAATGGTAGCATGGGAGCAACTGATGTTCGAGAAAGCCCAGGCTCCGGCAAGCCGTGGGTTTGAATTTACACATGCGCACATAATGGGTATGAATAAACCTTTCTTCAAAAAAACCAGATCAAGTCAAGGCAGTTATTTGCTGTGGGCAGGTGCCAAGGCTGGCTGCTTCAGTCCCCACGCGAGTCGCCCCCGAGCCTGCTTCTGCAGCCCAGCCTGGAAAGTGCAAGGCACTTGGAAAGGAGCCACGCCCAACGCCCTGTACCAGCGGCCTCCCGGACACCAACAGCGTCCTCTGCGCCTGCTGCAGCTTGTCCCTTAGTCCTCCCTGGACAGAGGGCGTGAAGTTGGCTGCGCCAACAGGACGCGGCCCGCTCACTTCGGGGCTCATTGTCCTGGACACACAGTCAGGGCTGGACGCCTCCAGCAGCCCCACGCTTCACCCCAAGGTCCGCAAACCTGACAACTTCGGAGGTAGGGATATCTTGACACAGTCTGAAAACAAACCATTTAAAACTTTTTTTCTCAAAAAATTAAAATAATTTTTTTCTGCTTACAAAATCTATAAATTCAGTTCAATATCAATGAAAATCGCAACAGGATGTTGACACTTGAGAAGCTGATTTGAAAGTTCATCTGAAAGAGAAAATATATAGGAATCCTGAAGATGATTTCGAAAACCTCCAAAAAGACTTCAGTAATTCACACAGAAAATCCAGAAACAGATTCATGTTTATGGGGAAATTTAGTATTTGATACAGGAGACCTTTCAAAGCCAAGCTGGAAAGATGGAAGGTCAACAGAGGCTTTGGGGAAAACTCACTATCCATTTTGAAACCAATGTTAGAATCTTCTTACCATTTGCAAGAATAAACTCCAGGTGTATTAAAGAGCTAAACATTTAAAAAATCTATAAAAGTTTTAAAGCCAAATATGGAAGAATATTTTTAAAATCCTATGGTGAAGAAGGCTTTTACTAAGCAGCAAACAAAACCTGGAAACCGTAAAGGAAATGACTGACAGATTTGAATATTGCAAGAACTAAATGAATGCCTCCTTAAACAAATTAAAGGACAAATTCCAGGCAGGGAGAAAATAGTTTACAATAGAAGTAATGTGCCAATGGTTAATATCTGTGTTGCATAAACATGTCTTTCCAATCAATAAGAAAAGAGTAGGAAATGGGTAAGGATTTAACAGGCAATTCACAGAAGACAAAGTAACCGGCCCCTAAATGGGAGCATATCCTCAACTTCACTAGTAATAAAGGAAACGAATTTAAAAGACGATACATTTCTCACTTCTTCTCTCCTTATAGCTGTATTCCACCTTTGACCATACAGCCTGTTTTTATTTATCGTAAGCATAGGTTAATAAATACAGGGCTTACCATGTTAATATCTTCTTTCTATGGATGCGTAACAACTTATTTTATCATTCCGTTTGTGACTGAAATTGAATTTCTTTCTGTAAACCTGAAAATATCTGAGACAAGCCTCGATCAACTTAGAAGTTTACTTTGCCAAGATTAAGGACACGTCTTGGGAGACAGGTCTGTGCCTTTCTCCAAAGATGATTTCGAGGGCTTCAGTATTTAAAGGAAAAAGCCAGCTGGAGGGGACAGAGGGAGGGTATGGTCACATTACTGAATCCAAATGTTGCAAAAGAAAAGGAGCATGTAGGGGAATGGTCAGTTATGTGTTCGTCCCATGCTCAGTAACTCGACTCTTCACACAAGATAAGGTGAATGCAGAGTGGAGATCTTTAACCTTTTATCTGTCTCTATCTGCTTAGGAACAAAGGGAAAGGCAGCTTCTTGCATGACTCCACTTTCAGCATTTTTTTTTTCTTTTGGCGGAGGGAGTAGGGGTCCCAAGTTTTTATTTTCCTTTCACATTTCTATTTTGCTTTTCTATGATCTGCTGCTGTAAGCTTCCCTATAGCACATTCCCAGGCTAGAATCTCATAGTGGGGACTGCCAGCTCACAGGGAAAGCACAGGGATGCTTGGATGCAGACAGGCAAGCCCAGCTCCAGGGCTGCACCTGTGGACCCCACCCCAGCCCAGCCCAGCCCCTGGAAGAGGGGGTCTGTCTGTCCCTGATTGGCCCACCAGCACCCTGTGGTTCTTTCAAAGTTATTTCTGACCTATACTACTGTTTGCCCTATTAGGGTGCCCCTTCCTTCCTTCCTTTCTTCCTTCCTACCTTCCTTCCTTCCTTCCTTCCTTCCTTCCTTCCTTCCTTCCTCTGTCTCACAAGAATTCCTTTTACAGTTTGTCATTTGCCATTGTATGTGGCTAAATCTGTCAAACTTCAGCACTGTTTTCTAGCATTGTTGCCAGGCTTAGCCTCCATTCCAAGATTACAGAAGCATCCACCTGAATTTTCTCCTAGAACTCTCACAGCTGCAGTACGTTCTGCTTTGGAGAAGGAATGGCCCAATTCCCTTCTGAATCTGGAAGAAAACAGAACTGGGTCACTTTACATATTATTTGGCCATTTTAAATTATATACCACTTTTACATTTAATGTAGCCATTTGACGGAGTTACTTCAAAATTTTCATATAAGCCTTGTCAAAAGGTCTCATTCTGTACTTTTACCATTTTTTTGAATCTTTTTTATCTTTATCCACTTTCATCTTGTTACAGGCCACTGCCTTCAGAGAAGGTGACAGAGGGCCATGTCTGAAACATTCTCCCACAACCAGGAACCCTCAGCAGCCGCTGAAGAGGAAAGGCAGTTAAATGGAAAGACTTCTGAGCAAGTGGAGGAAAAGTCACGTGTGACCTAGGGAGGGGCTCCCACAGGAAGGGGCAATGCCCTTGCCCTGTTCACCTAGCCTCCAGGTGGCTTCCCACTTGAAATTTCAGAGGATGGCAGAAACCTACTTACAAGGAAATGAAAGAGGGCACAGCAACCTTAAGACCAGAGCAGCCCACGATATTTTTTAATGAGGGCAAAAATAGAAGACTTGCAAAAGACCCCTGAAAATAATGCCTGGAAGCTGCGAAACATCAGACTGACACCGCACAAAAGAGGTCCAGCTGAGCAGGAGAAAAGCTTGAGAAGCATCCAGAACAATGTAGGTGGAGAGGCTAAGAAGAAAGAGGAGCCCACATGGAATGAATAACCAAGGTCGGGACAGAGGAAGGTTCGCCAGAACTGGGAGGGCTGAAATTGGACATTGAGATAAATTAAAGAGTGTTCTTTAAAACTGTCAAGACTTTGGCTGGTCAATAAGTAAACTGCAAACGAGTGTTCCTAAACCACAGCAGCAATGCTCCCTGGAGGAGGGAAGGAGGCCGGGGCTGCCACTCTCCCAGGTGGCTGCGTCCCGGCCTTTGCCATTGATGTGTGCTTTCTCCAGGCTCACAGATGTCCCTGGGCCGGTTGCATCTGTGACCAGGACTCTGCCACCTGCCTGTGGCTTGCTGATCAGCTGGTCACCCAGGAATGTTAGGGATGAACAGAGACCTAGAACTCAGGCTCCATGGATCTGGCAGCACCAGGAGACGAGGTTTCAAATCTCATGGCTGGGCCAGCCAGCCAGGTGCCCTGGAACTGTTGTGATCCCTGCTCCTTGCCGGGCTTAGCCTCCTCTTACTTCAGCCCAGAAGTCCCCGAGTACCCACTCAACAAATGCCATCCCTTTAATTTCTGTGGCCTGCTGCCATCACGGCTCGCCTAATTCATTCCCTCCACACCCTAAGTGTCCACGGAAGTGGCTGAAACAGTAAAACCACAGAGGAGCATTCATTCCAGTCCCCAAGGCAAGCCCCCTCCTTTGCACCCTGCTGTTTGGTTGATTTCTTCTTTCTCCACTTCCCAGGATGTGGAGCAGATTCCCTGTGGCATGATTACCTGAGGCCAGGTACAGACTGGCTCCAGGGAAGCACAGGGCTGGGGTCCCAGTTCCCACACCGGGCCATTCATTAACAGGTGGGAAGAGTTCCACCACTTCTGAGGAATTAGCAGGCTCCAGGTGACCCTATGTCACCCCAAGTGACTCTCCATTCCCCACAGACTCAGCCACAGGGCCAACAGTTTCTATTGCTATCTTTCCCTCCAGAAAACCCCTGGGCCATCTCGCCTGCCCAGCTCCTGCTGCTCCCCACGGGAGGGCTACAGTTAAAGAAGGGAAAGTGGCTAATTCACTAAGTAATTAACTTAAGGAGTGTCTATTGAACATCTACTGTGTGCAAGATGCTGTTCTAGATTTGAGATACAAAACAGGGAAAGAGAAGGCCCTGCTCTCACGGATGGGCATTAGAAGAGTGGGGTTGATAAACACGAGGATCAGTGAAGAGCATTCCAGGCAGGAATAAGCACTGCAGAGGAAGGAGGATGAGATGAGAAGGGAGAGCGAGCGAGCAGCAGTGGGGGAGGTGTCCATGGGGTTGAGTCTGGACGAGGGGAGGGAAGCAGCCAGTGCTTAGCAGGAAGACAGGGCAGGGGTGCAGCTCCCAGAAGGAGACAAAGAGGACCTTTCGAAGGTCTGCAGGTGGCAGGAGGGGCAGAGGAGGCTGGACCCAGGTAAGAAGTCATTGCAGGGGTCCAAGCCAGGAGAGGACAAATCTGATGGAGGTTTAAAAGGCTCAGTTGTCTGCCTGGTGGAGAAGAGACGAAGGGGCAGAGGGGGAAAAAGTGATGGACTAAGGATAGATTTTGGAGGCAGAGCAAACAGGAGAGCATGAAAGAAACAGAGAATCAAAGATGATGTTTAGGCCAGGGGCGGTGGCTCATGCCTCTAGTCCCAGCACTTTCGGAGGCTGAGGTGAGAGGATCGCTTAAGCCCAGGAGTTCAAGACCAGCCTGGGCAACATAGCAAGACTGCATCTCTAAAAAAAAAAAAAAAAAAAAATTAGCCAGGTGTGGTGGTGCACACTTGTAGTCTCAGCTACTTGGGAGGCTGAAGTGGGAGAATCGCTTGAGCTGGGTATGTTGAGGGTACAATGAGCCATGATTGTGCCACTGCACTCTAGCAGTGGATGACAGAGTGAGGCCCTGTCTCAAAAAGAAAAGATGATGAGTTATTGGTTTGGGACCATTTTCTGACCTAGGGAAGACAGAGGAGAAGCTGGCTTGTGGGTGGGTGGTATCTGGAGCTCCGTTTTGGCCAGGTTACATTCCAGGAGCCTCCTCGGGGTCTGGGAGGAGCTGTGGAGAACCCAGACATGTCTGTAGGGGTGAAGCATTTCTGGCCTGTGTAAGCACACACCTGGTGGCCACAGGGCCTGGGCTGTCTGAGAGAGGTCTGGTTTGAGATGTGTCAACGTCGGACTCTAAATGCCTCTCACCCCAGGGCTCAGGTAGCCCCTTCCATGCCTGTCCAGAAGACCCTGCAGAAAGTGCTCATGGTGGTGCCATCTCACCTGCAGTATTTGTTCCTAAATCAGCACAAGTCGGATCCTAGCAAGGGCCATGGAATATGCTTAGAGGGTGACACATACACTGCCACTGCCTGTTTCTATTCATGAACTCACTTTCGAAAGTGTCCCATTCTGAGATAATTTTAGACTTATAGAAGAATTGCGAAAGCAGCCTCCCCACCCCCAGCCTCTTCTCATGCCGGCATTCCATGAATCAGAGTGCGATTATGAGAGCTGAGACTCACCTCGCCGTGGTCTCGAGAGCTGGACGGCAGGCAGGCCCCTCCCAGTGCCCTCCTCTGTTCCCAGCTCCCACGTGCATTTGGCTGTCACCTTTCTCTGTCTCCTTTCTGTGTCAGGGCCGGCTTTTTAAGAGGATGGGTCTGTCGCTCTTGGACAGTCTCTCCGCCTAGGTCTGCCTGACGCCTTCTCTGCATTGGACTGAGGTAATGCCTTTTTGGAAATTCCGTGGCAATGCCACAGAAGTGATGTGCATTTTCGGTGGGCCAGATCAGTGGGTGTGGGCTGTTAGTGTGCCTTGTGCCTGGTCATGCCAACTTTGATCTCTTGGTTAGGGTGGTGCCTGCCAGGGTTCTCCCCCATCAACTCACTGTTTTTCCTTTGTAACCATTAAATATTCAAAGAGATGCTTTAAGGCTACACAGAGACACTGTTTGTGCTTAGATCTCTGTCTGCTAATTTTACTATCCTCTGGTGATGTTGCCTCAGCCGTGCTCCCTGCAGTCCTCTGGTGCTCATCGTCTTCGTCTCTCATTCGTTCCACATTTATTAATTGCGATTCATCTGTAAGAAAGCAGTTAACTCACTTTTAAACGTCAATAATTAAGCCATACACCAGTTGATAGCCTGTGGGGCAGGAGGAAGAGCAAGGCCTTCAGTCAGTCCAAAGGGTGGCTCGAGTAATTTTTTAACTGAGCACTTTTCTCTGCTTGCAGGCTGACCCTTGGTTGCATTTGGCCTCTCTAACTTTGCCCCATCTCTGCTGCTGAGGTCAGCAGCTCAAGAACGAGCCTTGCACAGGCTTTGGGGCCCTCTCCAGAGAAAATCGGGTTCCTTCTTTCCCTTCCAAGCATCTCTGCTCCCTTTGCCCTGCCGCTAGGAAGAAACCTCCCTGTCAGAGCCTCTCTACTTCTAAAGCCAAGTCTTTTGCCAGTGGCCCTGCCCCTCCATACACACACACACACACACACACACACACACACACACACACAGATACGTACACATACACACATGTGCATGTCCATGCATGCATAGATACACACAAACATGTATATATGTGCATATATACATACGTCTATGGATTCATATATACACATAATACACACATACACATGTGCACATATACATGCACATGCATGCACTTATACGCACATGCATATAGATACACATAGATGCACATGAGCATGCACACACATATGTACACACATGCATATACATACATATACACATACATATATGCTCATAAAGAACTACATACATATATAAATATATATTCCAATAACAGCTGTCAGATCATTGTTTTTAAAAAGCAAACAATCACAGAAGACACAAACAGCTTAGGCTCTTCTACAGCCTACTGGTCCTTACAACAACTTTAAGAGCAGATACAGTTACTATCCACTTTGGAAGATGAAGAACCTCCAGCTTCCTTGGCCCAAGCCTACACTTCTAGTGAGGGCAACGCTGGGAACTACATCCAGGCCTTTGCTCGAAGCCTGTCTCTGTACCCCCGTCACCATATGCTGCTCTAAGATTAGTTTCCCCGTTGGTTTGGTCAAAAGGCCCAAACCAACTCAGGATACAAAGTATGGCACTGAGGATACAAAGGCATCCACATTCGTATCCCGAGTGCCATGGCCAGATCAGTGCCTCCTCCCCTCCCCTGGCACCCTCCCCTCCACCCAGAGATGTGATCAGCTTCACATGGCTACCAACAAGTGAGACTGTCTGTCCCTTGACAAAGATTATATGCTTGGCCAAACTTTAGTCAGGCTTCTGAACCTTCCCCTTGACCCATCTGTGCACTTCCTTGCAAAATCCAGATTTAGCAAGAACAAAGCTAAGTCAGTTTGGCAAGAACTCCCTGTCCTTCATGTCTGATCAGATTCTTCACCCACCACCATCCCCCAGGTGATGTTGGTTATGCTGACCTGTCTTCAGCAAGAACACTGTTAGGTTGGATTAGCCAGGGACCCCCTAAACCCTGATGCTTCTTCTTAGTCATTTCCCATCCACTGACCCTAGTCTGGCTCCTGGTTGTAAATTCCGACTTGTCTGTGGTATATTCATAGTTGATGCTGATCTCTCTTCCCCACTGCACAGTCCCATTGCTGTTGTCCCTGTACGTATCACAATGGTCCTGAATAAAGCCTACCTTGCCATGCTTTAACAAGGTATTATTTAAATATTGCATAATATTTTCTTTAACATCCCACAGTGTCACTAATGCTGGGTGTTACTCATTGTTCATGTTTCTCAGCCTCAGGGGGGCTTGAAAAATCTTACTGTTATTTTTAATGTGTGCTAAATTTATATTTGGAGTCTCGCTCTATCGCCCAGGTGGAGTACAGTGGCGTGATCTCTGCTCACTACAAGCTCCACCTCCCAGGTTCACGCCATTCTCCTGCCTCAGCCTCCTGAGTAGCTGGGACTACAGGCGCCCACCACCATGCCCGGCTAATTTTTTGTATTTTTAATACAGACGGGGTTTCACCATGTTAGCCAGGATGGTCTTTATCTCCTGACCTCGTGATCCACCCGCCTTGGCCTCCCAAAGTGCTGGAATTACAGGCGTGAGCCACCACGCCAGACTGCAACATACATTCTTAATCTGCCAAGTTATATTTCTTAGCAATTTAGATGCCTTGTCTTTTCAAGAGAGGCCTGCAGCCTAGGGATTAGCACCTAGCATGTCTAGGGCTATGGCCTGAATCTGCAAGTCCAGCCGAGTGAATGTGGGAGTTTGGTTACATTCCCTAAGCTTCTGATTCCTTACCTCCAAAGTGTAGAAAACACAGTAACTACTTCAAAAGTTTGTTCTGAAGGGAATACAAATTAATTCATTAAGGCAGCTTCCATTCTCAAATAGGAAAAGTTGGCAGTTGTTATTGCTCATTATTTTGAGGGGATATTCATCTCCTTTCTTCTTAGTTTGTAAGAATTATGTATATACTTTAGGGTATTAACTTTGTGATACAAACATTTTTATTTTCTAGTTGATCATTTCTTTAGTAACTTTCTTTTTTTCGTTTGTTTTGTTTTTTAGATGCAGGGTCTTGTTATGTTGCCCAAGCTGGACTTGAACTCTGGGCTGAAGCAATCCTCCCACCTCAGCCTCCCAAGTAGCTAGGACAACAGGCATGTGTCACTGCGCCTTAGTAACTTTCTGTGTGGTGATTAATTCTAAACTTAATTTTTAAAATTTTGTTAGTTAAACCTTGAAATGTCTTCTTTTATAGTTTCTAGCTACAGTGTTATACTTGCCCTGTTTTATATTTGCTTAAAGAGTCACCTGTTTTTTTTTCTAGCACCATATTTTAACAGCCTTATTCATCTTTATGCTTAAGTAATGAATCTGGAACTTATTTTGATGTAAGATATCATGTAATGTATCTAACTTTTACTCCAAATGATAAGCCTGTTGACCTAACACTACTTTTTAATTAATTTATTATTGCCCCACTATTGTAAAATATTGCTTTCTATCATATACTAAATTTCATATAAATTTGAATCCATTTATGGTTTCACAATCCAGTATATTCTTTTTTTATTTCAGTCATTTTTGGGGAACAGGTGGTTTTTGGTTGCATGGATAAGTTCTTTAGTGGTGATTTCTGAGATTTTGGTGAACCCATCACCCAAACAGTGTGCACCGTACCCAGTATGTAGTCTTTTTTTCCTCACCCACCTCTCCCCACACGTCCCCAAAGTCCATCGTATTATTCTTATGCCTTCGCATCCTCATAGCTTAGCTCCCCCTTATAAGTGAGAACATATGATATTTGGTTTTCTTTTTCTGAGTTACTTAACTTATTCATTATTCATGGCCTCCAGCTCCATTTAAGTTGCTGCAAAGGCCATTATTTCATTCTGTCTTATGGCTGAATGGTATTCCATGTTTATATACCACATTTTCTTTATCCACTCATTGGTTGATGGGCATTTAGGTTGGTTCCATATTTTTGCAATTCTGAATTGTACTGCTATAAACATGCGTGTGCAAGTGTCTTTTTCATATAATGGCTTCTTTTCCTCTGGGTAGGTACCCAGTAGCAGGATTGCTGGATCAAATTGTAGTTCTACTTTTAGTTCTTTAAGGAATCTCCATACTGTTTTCCGTAGTGGTTGTACTAGTTTACATTCCTACCAGCAGTGTAGAAATGCTCCCTTTTCACCACATCAATGCCAACATCTATTATTTTTTTATTTTTTAATTATGGTCATTTTTGCAGGAGTAAGGTGGTATCTCATTACGGTTTTGATTTGCATTTTCCTGATAATTAGTGTTGTTCAGCATTTTTTCATATGTTTGTTGGTTGTTTGTATATCTTCTTTTGCAAATTTTCTATTCATGTCCTTAGCCCACTTCTTGATGGGATTATTAGGTTTTTTTTTTTTTCTGATTTGTTTGATTTCCTTGCAGATTCTGGATATTAGTCCTTTGTTGGATGTATAGACTGTAGAGATTTTCTCCCACTTTGCGGGTTGTCTGTTTACTCTGCTGATTATTATTATTATTATTATTATTAGCAGCTGTGCAGAAGCTTTTTAGCTCCATTATATCTCATTTATTTATTTTGTCCTTGTTGCATTTGCTTTTGTGTTTTTAGTCATAAATTCTTTGCCTAAGCCAATGTCTACAAGAGTTTTTCTGATGTCATCTTCTAGAATCTTTATGGTTTCGGTTCTTAGATTTAAGGCTTTGATCCATCTTGACTTGATTTTTGTATAAGGTGAGATATGAGGATCCAGTTTCATTCTACATGTGGCTTGCCAATTGTCCCAGCACCATTTGTTGAACAGGGTGTCCTTTCCTCACTTTATGTTTTTGTATGCATTGTTGAAGATCAGTTGGCTGTAAATATTTGGCTTTATTTCTGGGTTCTCTATTCTGTTCCATTGGTCTATATGCCTATTTTTATACCAGTACCATGCTGTTTTGGTAACTACAGCCTTGTGATATAGTTTGAAGTCAGGTAATGTGATGCCTCCAGATTTGTTCTTTCTGCTTAGTATTGCTTCAGCTATGCAGGCTCTTTTTTGGTTCTATATAAATTTTAGGATTGTTTTTTCTACTTCTGTGAGGAATTATGATGGTATTTTGATGGGAATTGCATTAAATCTGTAGATTGCTTTTGGCATTATAGTCATTTTCACAATATTGATTCTACCCATCCATGACCATGGGATGTATTTCTATTTCTTTGTGTCATCTATGATTTCTTTCATCAGTGTTTTGTAGTTTTCCTTGTAGAGATCTTTCACTTCCTTGGTTAAGTATATTCCTAAGTATGTATGTATGTATGTATGTATGTATGTATTTGTTTATTTATTTATTTTGCAGCTGTTGTAAAAGGAATTGAGTTCTTGATTTGATTCTCAGCTTGGCTGTTGTTGGCGTATAGCAGTGCTACTGATTTATGTACATTGATTTTGTATCCTGAAAGTTTACTGAATTCATTTATCGTATCTAGGAGCTTTTAGTTAAAATGAACTCATTGGTTAGCCCTAATCTGGTATGACTGTTGTACTCATAAAAAGAGGAGATGACTGCCGGGCACGGTGGCTCACGCCTGTAATCCCAGCACTTTGGGAGGCCGAGGAGGGCAGATCACGAGGTCAGGAGATCGAGACCATCCTGGCTAAAACAGTGAAACCCCGTCTCTACTAAAAATACAAAAAATTAGCCGGGCATGGTGGCAGGCGCCTGTAGTCCCAGCTACTCAGGAGGCTGAGGCAGGAGAATGGCATGAACCTGGGAGGCGGAGCTTGCAGTGAGCCGAGATCACGCCACTGCACTCCAGCCTGTCAACAGAGCGACACTCCATCTCAAAAAAAAAAAAAAAAAAAAAAAAAAGGAGATGACCACCCTGACATGCACAGAGGGATGACCACGCGAGGTCACAGGGAGAAGGCGGCCATCTGCAAGCCAAGGAGAGAGGCCTCAGGAGAAGCCCACCCTGCAGACACCCTGATCTCAGACTTCCAGGCTCCGTGACTGAGAGACGATAGAAGTCTGTTGTTTGAGCCCCCGGTCTTTGCTAGTTTGTCGTGTCAACCCAGGCAAACTCATATGGGGTGTACGTGCCCCCACGTGTGGTGACATACCGGTAGCATGGGCCTCAGAAGCTGGCTGTCATGAGGGGAGGCTCCAGGAGCTCCACAGGGGGGTGAATCATCCTGCTGTGTATCAGCAACGGGGGCTCTGGGGACCCGGGGACTTCAGGCTACAATGAGTCAGGTTGTCCCCACCCTGGCCAGGGGACATTAGAGCAGGGTGGTACCAGTTTCAGGAGTAATTGCTGTGGTGGGCAGGAACGAGGCCATCCGACCCCTGAGCGGCTTCCTTTCCTGGCCTCTGCCCTCCCTTCCCTTGCTGTGGCGTCCTGTGCCTATAACAACTGGACCCCACCACCTCACAGCTCAGGCTGGCCCTCGCAGGCACTTCCATCTGCCCTGTGCAGCGCGTCCTCCCAGCGGAGACAGGTCAGTCCTTGCCTGGGGACTACCGGGTGCCCCCAAGGCAGGCCCAGAGCGTCGGGGGTCTTCCTCCACTGCACGGTAGGTGTGGGCAGTGACAACTGGACAGGCATCCTCCCATGGCTCCCCATCTCCCCTGTGACCCCTTGCTCACAATGTGCGGCTTTCCGGCTTCCCCTTTCCCCGTCCCCATGCTCTGTGGGCTCATCACTTGCAGTCCTCCTGCAACCAGAGCCCCAGGTTCTGAGCTCTGTGCTGCCCTCACCCCTGTGAAAGACCCACCTGGCTGAATGGCTGCAGCGACTTCCTCCACAGACCCTGAGCAGCGGCAGTGTGGAGGCTAGACCCAGCCTGCTGACCGGGGCAGGATCAATAGATGGATTAGTGGGGCCAGTGGGTCTTTGCTCTTCCAGAATTCCGAGCAGATACAAGTGCACCTGGTAGAGGAAGCACAAGGAACCATCCTCCATCCTTAATGCACGGAGGGTCCGCTGAACGTCAGGCCAGGGCAAGACTTGAGGGCAGGGAAGTGATCCAGGCCACACATCACTGGGTGCGAAAGGAGGACAAAGAGAGGGTCCAGGTGAAGGGGTGAAGGTCGCACACACAAACCTCACAAAGCCTCACGTTATGGACTGGGCTTTGCTGGAACATGGGAAGTTTCACTTCGCCTGCTGTGCCCCGGTTTCCGCATCTGTTTCTTCTGTGGCTAAATCAGTGAATGCTCTGGACCTCTGCTCTCCACACTCCAGAACTTTTCTTCCTGCCCCATCAAAATGTACCCATGCAGGGTTTCAGTCCTCAGGGCTTTCTGTGTAGCCGCCAGGGCCCATGAGCACAAGGTTTTGACACTGAGAGCAAAGCAGAACATCACGTGTTTCGCTTTCTCGCTAACAAGGAGTGAAGTCCAGGAATTCCAGACCTTGTTTTGCTAATTGTAGAGGCTCTCCAGATTGGACGGCTTCCCAGCTGCCCTCAAATCAGATCTGCTCTTCTGGCTGGCAGACCTAGGAGAGAGCAGAGAGGCAGACATTGAAGAAATAAAACAAGAAAACACACAAGAGCTGCAGAAAAATGAGCTTACAGAGCACTATAGGAATAATAAAACAGGACTCACACGCCGCCACGCACACTCTCTCACCCTCTCTGTTTTCTATTTCACTTATTTCCAGTCTAATCTTTATTACTTCTGCTTTCTTTCTTTTTTCTTTTTCTTTTTTTTTTTTTTTTTTTCTGAGACAGAGTTTCCCTGTTGTCGCCCAGGCTGGAGTGCAATGGCGCCTTCTCAGTTCACGGCAACCTCTGCCCCCGGGGTTCAAGCAATTCTCCTGCCTCAGCCTCCCGAGTAGCTGGGATTACAGGCGCCCGCCACCATGCCCGGCTAATTTTTGTTTTTTTAGTAGAGACGGGGTTTCACTATGTTGACCAGGCTGGTGTTGAACTCCTGACCTTAGGTGATCTACCGGCCTCAGCCTCCCAAAGTGCTGGGATTACAGGAGTGAGCCACCGTGCCCAGACCTGCTTTATTTAAACGTAATTTGCTTTTTTTTTTCCTAGTTTCTTAAGGTGAAAACTAAGGACATTGATTTGAGATCATTCCTCTTTTCCAATACAAGCATCAGTGCTATAAATTTTCTCTAAGTACTGCTTTAATAACATCTGCAAGTATTAATATGTCACATTTTGATTTTATTCAGTTCAAAAACCTTTACAATTTTAAAAAATATCTTCCTTTGCCCATGGGTTATTTAAAAGTGTGCTACTTACTTCTCAAATACTTGGGGGATTTCCAGGTTATCTTTTAGTTATTGATTTCTAATTTAATTCTGTTATAATATGAAAATAGACTTTATGTGACCTTGGATCCTTTAATATTTATTGGGACTGTTTTATGGCCCAGAATGTAGTCAGTCTTGGTAAATGTTCTTCATGCACTACAAAAGAATATGTATCTACTGTTATTGAATTGAGTGTTCTATAAATGTCCATTAGGGCAAGTTTGTTCATAGTGTTATTTAAGGCTTCTATATTGTGGCTGATTTTCTGTTTATTTCTTTTATCAGTTATCAATTATTGAGGTCAGAGTATTTAAATATTAGATTATGATTGTAGATTTATCTATTTGTCCTTGAAGTTCTATCACTTACTGGCTAGTGTATTTTGAGGTTCTGTTATTAGGTGCACAAATGTTTTAGATTGTTATTTTTCTTGATGAGTTGGCTCCATTAATAATGGTAATATGAAATTACCTGTTTTATTTCTGGTAATATTCTTTGCTCTGAAATTTACTTTGTCTGATATTGATATATAATAGCTACTACATATTTCTTTTGATGTGTGTTAGCATGGTATATCTTTTCCCATCCTCCTACTTCTTACTTATTTGTGACTTTATTTTTGAAATAGATTTCTTATAGTAGCATACACTTGAGTCTTGCTTTCTTATCCAATCTGGAAATCTCTGTCTTTTATCTGGAGTGTCATGACCATTTGCATTGAATGTATTTATTGATATAGCTAGGTTTAAATCTGCCATCTTGCTACTTGTTCTCTATTTGTCCTGTCTATTTATTTTTGTTTAATTGAGCATTTTTTTATTATTTCACTTTATCTCTTTTGTTGGCTTATATCTATAACTGTTATTTTAATGGTTGCTTTAGAATTTTTAGTAAACATCATTTATCACAGGTCACCTTCAAGTGATATTATGCCCCTTTATTTACATTAGCCTTTACATTAGCCAAAATACCTTGTTATTACTTTTGGTCCATCAATTAGCTTTTGGAAAGATTCAGATAATAAGAAAGAAGTATTAACATTTCCCACATAGTTACCATTTTCAGGGCTCTTCATCCTTTTTTATAAACTCATATTTTCATCTAGTATAATTTTCCTTCTGCCTGAAGGACTTCTGGTAGTATTTTTTTGGAGTGGTTCTGTTGGTAATTCTTTCAGCTATTGTTGAAAGTTTCTTTACTTTGCCTTTGTTTTTTGCTGAGTATAGAATTCTAGGTTAACAATCCTCCCCCATCCTCCACTCCTTCAGCATTTAGATGATATTCCACTGTTTTCTCATTTGTATTGTTTCTAACAAGAAATATGCTGTTATCCTTATCTTTGTCCCTCTGTATGTAATATGCCTTTTTCTATGGCTCATTTTAAGGTTTTTTTGAATTACTGGTTTTAAGCAATTTGATCATGATGTATCTTGGTGTCTTTTTCTTTATGTTTCTTGTGCTTAGGGTTTGTTGATATTCTTGCATCTGTAGATTAATTGTTTATATCATAGTTTGTCATTTTTTGGCCATTGTTTCTTTATATATCTTTTTTTTTAACTAAACTCTCTCTTGTTTGGGAATCCTAATTAAACATTTATTAGGTTTCTTGAAGTTTCCTCTGATGTACTGTTTATTTATTTTATATTTTTTATCTCTGTGTATCACCTTATATTATTTCTTTTGCTGTATCTTCAATTTCATTCATCTCTTTTTCTGCAACGTGTAATTTGCCATTAATTTCTCATCTCAGACATTGTAGTTTTTATCTGCAGAAGTTTGATTAGGTCTCTACTTGAGCTTTTATACATATAGAATGCAACTATAAATGTTTTAATGCCTTTGTCTGATAATTCTAACATCTGTGTCAGTTCTGATTTGCTTTTGATTGTTTGATTTTTCTTTAGTAACGGTCATATTTTTCTGTTTCTTTGTATGCCTGAAGATATTTTACTGGGTACCAGACATTGTGAATTTTACTATGTTTGTGCTGGCTTTGTATTTCTATAAATATTCTTAAATTTTGTTCTGGTACTCAGTTAAGTTATTGGGAAGCAGTTTGATCATTTCAAGTATCATCTTTCGGATTTGTTATCGATGCAAGACCATTGGTAGATAAATGCTGCTCTAATAAATCTGAAAGACAATACCTGAGTATGGTATCTAATGCTGTGTGAATTAAGAGGTTTCCTAGACTGGCTGGTGGAAACAGGCACTCTATGGACCTATATGAGCTGTATCAGCCCCAGGCATTGTTCCCTCTAATCTTTTCTAATGGTTCTTCTCCTAACCTCAGTTCGTTCCCTCACATACAAGCACTGACATGTTTACAGCTGATTACTTGAGGGAAACTCTCTGAAGATCTTCAGGGTTCTCTTCTTGTGTTTCTCTGGGTTTCTCCTCCCAGCACCTCCACCTGGAAATGCTCTCGAGGCAATAAGTTGGCTTTCCCTCATTCGATTTCATCATTCAGGAATCACTGTCCTTCACAGCTTGACATCTAAAGTTTTGAATGTAATTGTTTCTTGTATTTTGCCCAGGTTTGTTATTGCTTCATGCAGGAAGAATAATTAAGTCTCCACTTTCCCATGTTGGTTGGAAACGGAAATCTGAGAAATGCTTTTGAAATTCACCGAGTATGAGCTAGGAAAGCTATTGGCTGCAAGTAACAGACAATGTGACTAACTATATGTAAACCTTTTAATGTTTACTCATGCAACAGTCACCACTAGTCATTCCTTAACATATCAAATGTTAGTTGGGCACATGGATGTCCAAGTAGAGTCTACCTTTCTCAGTCCCGCAAGTAGTAAATGTGGTCAAGTGACTAAGTTCTGGTAGATGGAAGTGGTGCCTGCAACTTCCAGAGTGTGTTACAGAGAGAAGTCCTGCTTATCAACTCTCCTTTTCTCCATCTTGGTGGCTGGAGCCACGTGTGATGGCTGGGGCTTGAGCAACATCTTAGGCCACACGATGAAAGCTACATATTGAATCTGGTCCCTGAAATTTGTGGAGCCATGTTTTCATCTATGGCCTGGATTTCTATAAGAAATAAACTTATATTTTCTTTAACATCATCAGTTTAGGCTTTCTGTCACTCATGTCTGAACTTATTCTAACAAATAAACAAGAATCACAGAGGCAGATGAGTCTCCCAGTTGGCCCATTATGTAAGGGTGCTGTGAAGAACTCAGCTCCTTTCATGATTACGTTCTGACTTCCTTAGCCTGTTGACATTTTGCTCTCATGCTTGACAACTCAGGGTTTCAAATGGCTGCCACAAATCCAGCATCACATCCATGTTCAAAGGAAAATAGGAGGAAAAGAGTAGCCCTCTCCATTCTCATCTGGTGTCTGTCTCTTTTATCAAGGTAAAACAAAGCAAAATGAAACAAATGCCTTCCCAGAAGTCCCTTTCACATTTCATTACTCAGAGCTGGGCTATCTGGTCACACTTACTGCAAGGGAGACTGGGAAAGGAATGAGCTGCTTTTCTAGCCTCTGGTGTGGGAGGAAGGCAAGAGTGGAAGTTTTTGGAAGTAGCTGCTGGGTTGGGCAGCCAACATCTGCCCCACACAGTAGGGATTACAGCCATCTTAAAGGTGAAAGATTTGAAAAGCTGGATGTCTGACCACAAACCCTTTTCAGGGTGGGGTCTGGAAGGGAAAGAAGAAGGAAGAAGAGAGAAATGTTTTCTTTAGACTGTCTTTGTGATTCTCAAGCTTTGAGTGTGCAGGAGATTTACTGAATGGAGTTGTGTGGACAGGTCCAGAAGAATTGTGCTTGGCAAGTGGCTGAAGAGGCTCCTGCAAATCACTTTGACCACACAAGCTTCTTTCCTTCACTCACTGACTTGGAGGCTAACCCCTGAGGCAGAGGCAGCACTACAACTTCTTCTCCATGGAACTTCATCCCCATGGGGTCTCAGATGCTCAGTTTTCCGAAGGAACTTTCATCTCATGCATCGTACTGAGGAGACAAAAAGGCCTGGGAAGCTGGTTATTTTGGTATCAGAAGCACTCAGAGGTGCTCTGAGCACCTCTCACAGAGCACTTCTCTCTCCGCCCAGGGGTGGACTTTCCTTTGAAGGACTAAACACAGTTCTGGAGTCTTTACTCCCCTTGACAACTGGGGAAAAGAAAAGAAGCCTAAGGACAGAAGTCCTGGTGGATATCACTTCGAAATCACATGGAGAAAAAAACCACACTGTGTCAGCTGTTCCCCACCCCTAAGATTATTTACTCTAAGAAAATAAATGCGTAACCCAGATGTTGGCTGGTTGAACCTCACTCCATGCCTTGAAGAAGTCCAAAGGCCTCTGTGAGCTATCCGTGGGTCTGTGGTCTCAGGGCAACCTTGGCCTCTGACTTTGGCATGAAATGGCTGTTGTCTTTAACATACACATGCACACGTGAATACATACACACATGCACGTGCACACATGTTATACATATACGCATGCATGTGCACAAATAGGCACAAGTGCACAAACACATGTTCATGTGTGTATGGCCTATTCATATGAAGCCCTGTGTGCTGAAGCTTTGGGAGCGAGAGGCCCACTGGGAGGTTGTCTGCACTGCAGAATGACAGCGAGTTCCCCTGGTCTTCTGCTCAGCTGGTTAGAAAGCAGCCCTTTGGTCTCTTCCTCCATGGCTTCTTGCTAGGCCTTGGGCCTATGGCCCCAGCTGCAGCCTCCATCTCTGGCAATGGTGCCCCTTTCTCCACTCTCCCTCCACTCCACCCAAGCTGTCTCCTTGCCTTGCTTCAGGCAAGTTTCTCCTCTGCCAATTGCCACGTCCTTGAGTTCTGCTGGTACCACACCCTCAGGCCCCCCATACTCCAGGCTGCTCTTAACCAACTATCTTTCCAGTAAATGCTGCTTCCTCTCACAGAGCACTTCTGGTGATGTCACCTCCTTTACATACCCAAGGGAGACAGGCCCTTCTGAGCAGCACAGATCCAGCACCCCAAGCAGTACCCGTCAGCCTTCAGGCCCCACCACACACCGCCTGAGCAGCTGGGGCAGACGCTCCTTCCCCTCCCCCACTCCCAAAGGACTTGACCACCCAGCACCCTTCCTGGGTCACCGGGCTCCTCCATGTCCAGTGTGGCACTATCAGCCCTGCCCAGCCTCCAGCATGGGGCCTGAAATGGGCCACCATCCAGCGGGCTCACAGGGACTCCCTCTGGGAGGCGGACTGGGGACTCAGTGGATCCAGGAAGAGCTGGACCACAGGAGAGGACAAAGACTGTGCAACAGGGCTTGTGTCCATGAACAAAGGAGAGAAATGAGCGGGATGGTGGCTATGGGCAAGGTCCTAAGGGGAATTGTTAGAATGCAGTCTAAAAGAGGGTGCTAATGACCCCCGACACAGCCAGCGCTACAGCACCTTCCCTCTCCTCTCACTGCTGTGTGGGAGACTCAGCCACACTTGGGTTTTATTTGTTTCTTTGCTTGTGTTTGAGAAGTGGAACCAGCATTAAAGACCGGGATATTTCACATAAAGGTCAGGATTTCTAGCTGGTCTTTAAGAACCAGAACAGGTCATGTTGGGCCTCTGCTGCATGGTGACTATCCACTGGCTAAGGGGAGCCATCCCCTCGGCCTGGGCTGTGCGTCCCCAGCTGGCCAGAGCCCCCAGGCCCAGCGATTTCCTTTCCTGCTACCAGCTCTCCTCACTTAGTTCCCCCCAGGCCAGGCCACCCGAACTCCAGACCCTGGTGAGAACCTCCTTAGCCCCCCTTGTCTGGACTCCGTGTCTCCAGCCATGGGGGTTTGGCTGTGCCCGCAGCCCGGTGCTAAGCACAGGCTGGGTCTGGGTGGGAGCTGGGCAGAGAGCCAGCGTCCCAGCTACCAAGCTGGGTCCTTACCATGTGGGGAGGAGCGCCGTGGCCTGGCTGGGACGGGGGCACCTTCCTGGCCAGCTCGTTGCTCTAAGCAGGGTATTGATCTCCCTGAAGCAGACTCTGAGATGGACAGAGACATACAGGAAGCGCGCTGCCCTGGCAACCCACACTGCTGGAGGGCAGGCAGGAAGCGAATATCGGTGGAGGTACCGGTTGAGTCCAGCACAACCCTGATGCAGGCCTTGACCACCCCCAAGGAGCTGGAAAGCTGGCGGCCTTGCAGAATTGACCCAAGATGGGGAGGCAGGGCCGGCCTCACTCCCTGGTGTCCATCAGTCACTGGAAGGACATATGGCCTTGTTTGAGCCAGTTCTCTTCAGCCAAGGAAATCCCCCAAAGGCTACCCCAAGCCCTGCTGGCCGCCAGGGGACGACCACCTCATTCCAGCTGAGGGAGCTGCACGTCCCGGTGTCTGCCGCAGGCAGTGCTGACACAGAGCTGAGGGGAAATCCTCAAGTGCGACCCTGGCGCTCGGGGGTTCTGCCTGCCCTGGTTCTCTGTCTGTGGAAGTCATGGCTTGGTGTGGCTGGTATTAGGGCTCAGCGCGAAGGCCTCACAGGGGCATTTTCGGTGCAGCGGTTTAAGGGCTCTCTCCCGGGGAGTGGAGTGAGACTCCTACGTGGAAAGAAGTCTTTCTCCCCCATGATGAGGAAGCTCTGGGACCATTTCCCCAAAAACAGCAGCCTGAGCTCTCTCCGTGGGTTCTCCAAGCGGAAGGAGGACTTCATTCACATGCTGAGAAGTGTGCAGACAGAGAAGGACAGCACTGGCCTCACGGCAGGACAGCTCGGCAGGGAGGCTGGGCTCCAGGGAAGAAGCCAGAAGGAAGCCAAGCTGAGGTTGTGATCAGGGAGAGGGGATCGCTGGCCCAGGGTGAGGGCGGTGGCAGCTGGGGCATGTGGAAAGGGGAGAGAGAGAAAGGATGTGGCACCATAAGACTCACATCCTCCTCAGATGTGTGGAGAGCAGGCATCAAAGGTGAGACAACGCCAGTAATGGGCGCCACTGACTGGTCTAGGCAAGGCGTAGGCCTGAGGGACACCGTGACGTCAGGAGTCAATGAACTGCTTACATAAGGAATCTAGAACAAAACAATGCATGAAAGAACCTCTCTGAAGGGACAGGGAAATGGGGTTAGCTGAGTAACTCTGGACATGAGTGGAGCCTCTGAGAGGAAAGTGGAAGGACTGTACACAGCCCTGCGCTCTGGCCGGCGAAGCCACTTCTCCAGGTCAGCGCTGCTCATACCACAATGCGTGCATCCTGGAGCTGAGTGATTAATTAAGGAAGTGGGTGGCAGCCAGTGGGAGCAAGCTTCTCCCTGCTGCGGTGAGAGTCACAGATAAGCAAGGGGCAGAGCCCAGGATGACCCATGTGGCGACAGATTCGAGTTGGAGGTGTCAGTGGGAACCCACGTTTCTGCTTACCATAGGTGCAGATGGTTACATGCAGAAATGTCCCCAGAGGTGTTTATTAATCGGCGCACACATGTGTTTCTGTGCCTTGTTAGTTGAGAGGGCCTACAAGAAACGACACTCCCTAGCAAGGAGCACTGCTCATCCTGACCTTGGTGTCTAACACCGTTCCCCAAATAAAAGGAGATGGGTTCCTTAGGGAAATGGCTGGTTCTGGGACTAGGCAGAGAATGTACAAGATGATCCTGGTGCCTCTTGTAGCACCAGGCAGAGAATGTACAAGATGATCCTGGTGACTCTTATAGCACCAGAACGTCAGGAAGTGCTCAGAGAACAAAACCCCAGTGATAAGGGTGCCCAGGAGCCAACGGAGAGAGTGCTCAATGGCCAAGGCAGGAGCCATTTGAGCAACAAGGTATACAACGTGGTATGGGACTATAACCCTGAGCCCGTTTGTCCCGCAAAAATGGAACACCAAAGACTGGGCAGTTCATCAAGAACAGAAATGCATTTCTCCCAGGTTGGAAGGCCAAGGCCAAGGCACCGGCATTTGGCCTGGTGAGGGCTTCGTGCTGTACCCTCACACTGCAGAAGGCAGAGGGGCAAGCCTGACACCACCCCCTCCATCAGGCCTGTTTATGGGGGCACAGATCCCCTCCCAGCAGGAGCCCTCCTGGCCTAATCACCTTGTAAAGGCCTCACCTCTTAACACTGCACATTGGCAACACCTGAATTTTGGAGGCTCACATTTAAACCATAGCAAACCAGAAGTATAAAATACACATCACTGAGACCTGGGGCCCAAGCTCCAGGCAGCCCTTTTGCCCAGGCCTGGCTGCAGGCTATGGCCCCAGCTAGAAACTCAGGGAGGTTTCACTCCTGCTACCGAATGAATGTGACCCCAGCATTGGATAGCACAGATGGCCCGTGCACAATGTGGCGACATCACAGCCCCTACAAAGAGCCCCTACTAAGTTCACAGTGTCCTCAGAGCAGGGAGTCTTAGTTTGCTTAGGCTACCATAGCAAAATCAGAGAAGGGGGGGTGGGTGTAAACAACAGACGCTTATTTCCTCACGGCTCTGGAGGCTGGAAGTCCAAGAGCAAGATGCCGCAGGGTAGGTTTCTCCTGCAGCCTCTCTCCTTGGTTTGTAGATGCCACCTTCTCCCTGTGTCCTCACATGGTCTTCCATCTGTGTGTGTCTGTGTCCTAATCCCCTTTTTTAAGAAGTCTTAATGGATTAGGGCTCACCTCAATGACCTCATTTTACCCTAATCACCTCTGCAAGACCCTGTCTCCAAATAGAGTCCTTTTCTTAGGCATTGGAGGTTAGGACTTCAACACATGAATTTTGGGGGACACAATGCAGCTCACAATGGGGCTTCCACACACTCTCAAGCCCCGCTGTGGGCTAGTCCCTGAACCATCTCCACCCTGCTCTCTCTCACCTGCTCAGCTTCCCACTTGTCCATCGCCACCGCGGCCCACTCTGGAGGCTGGTTTCTGCCAGGCACATCCATGTACTTCACCAGCATCCTCAGGGTGAGGGCAGTGCAGGGTCCCAGGCTGGGGCTGGGGAGGGTCTTCCTGAAGGCCCAACTCTCCCTACACCACTGGGCCCCTGCAGCTCACCTGCCCAACATCTTCCAAGGTCCCTTCAAGGCACGTTGGCCACTTCCAGCCACCACAGCTGCTCTGGAATCTCATCCTCATCCAGAGACAGGCAAAAAGAAACTCCCCAAACTCCAGAAGCTAAAGTCCAGGCCAAGAATTTTTGGGCTGAGAAGTCCCAGGGCACTCTCTCCTCCTCTATTCTCTTCCCAAACCAAGCTCCTACTGTCCTTCAGGAGGGAGGCAAAGCTTCTGCTGTCTGGAAGCGGGTAGAAGTTGAATCCTGGAGGGGGCTGGAGGTGTTCACCTCGGGTGAACCCTCTGCACATAGGGTCATGGCAGCCCTTCCAGGTTTCTATCCTCTCCCATCAGTCCAACCCGGAGGTGGGAAAGGGGCTTGGGCTTGAGATGGGACAACCTGGCCTTCTCTGCCCTAGGCTAGGCACCTGGCTACAGAGTGAATTCCTCCCAGTTCCTCTGGAGCCAGCTCACTCACAAGCTACCCCTCAGATGGAAAACACCCCATCTCCTCTGGCACTTTCCTTCCCAGGCTGAGGACTTACATCCTCCAACCTTCACTAACTTCTGGGGAGGTCAGCCAGGTTCAAGGGCACTGGACAAGGCAAGAATGACATGACTGTATAGCTCCCCTCACCCCCTGAGCCGTCCTCTGCCCAGTGTTTGTCAAGCTTCCTTCCTGCCTCCTAAGAGATCGGGAGTGGGCCAGGAAGGCGGCCCTGCCCCAGCCCTGCTGCTATCAACTGGCTCAAAGGTGGGGAGGCCACTGGTCTGACCAGTTGGCTATCAATCGTAAATCACTGGGTTGAGCCCTCTTGTTGGATCCACATTTATGCACACTCTGCTCCAGCTCTTCCTGGTAGGATGGGAAGTTACTCTCCAATCCCTGGCTGATTTGGCTGACCAGGCAGGCTGCAATCCCCTGAGCTATAGCTCAGAGGCTATAGCCCCTCTGAGCACCCTTCTTTCAGAATCTGGCATCAGACTCCAGTGTGCAGCAGATGCTGTGGCTGTCAGAGCTCATGTGGAAGCCCTTGTATCTAAGAACCTGAGTCTTTTGGGATTTTTTAGAGTTAGGGTCTTGCTTTGTCACCCACACTGGAGTAGAGTGATGCAAGGCTCACTGCAGCCTCAACCTGCCAGGCTCAAGGGATCCTCCCACTTCAGCCTCCTGAGTAGCTGGGACTATAGGTGCATGCCACCATGCCCTGTTAATTTTTTGTCTTTTTTGTAGACATGGGGCGTCACTATGTTGCCCAAGCTAGTCTCAAACTCCTGGACTCAAGTGATCCTCCCACCTTGGTCATCCAAAGCGCTGGGACTACAAGCATGAGCCACCGCGCCCAGCCAGAACCTGAGTATTCAATGTTTCCATAAATGGATTTCACTGGTAAGCTTCCCTCCTGTTTCTTATGTCTGACTCTCCCTTAGGGGGCCCGCCTGGCACCCAGCAATGCGCTAAGTGCTTTTCCCATCTAACACAAGAACCCTCCTGCTTCATCCATGCAGGGCACCAAATACTGTATCATCTCTCTAATTAAAATTTAAATTACAGCATCTGTGAGTTTTCCAGGGCTGCTGTAACAAAGTACGACAGCCTGAGGGCTTCAACAGACATTTGCGTTTTCACAGTTTTGGAGGCTGCAAGTCCTCGATCAAGGTGTGTGTAGACTGGCGGGTTCCCTTTAAGGCCCTGAAGGTCTGTCTGTCCTGGGCCCTCGCCTAGCTTCTGCTGGTGGTTGGAGCCCTTCAGCATTACTGACCTCCCGCTCATGTTCACGTGGCATTCTCCTTGTGCATGGCAGCTCCCAGCTCCCCTTTTATGAAGATCCTCATCACATAGAATTCAGGGATGTTATGGGCTGAGTTCTGTCTCCCAAAATTCATATATCTAAGTCCTAACCCCCAGAACCTCAGAATGGAACCAAATTTGGAATTAGGCCTTTAAACAGGCCATAAAGTGAAAATGAGGCCTTTAAAAGTAGCCCTTAATCCAACCTGACTGGGGTGCTTGTAAGAAGAGGGGGTTGGGACACACAAAGAGACCCCAGAGATGCAAGTGCACAGAGGAATGACAACATGGGGACACAGCGAAAAGGCGGCCAGCTGCACGGCAGAGAGAGACAGGCCGTGGGAGAATCCAACCCTGCTGACGCATTGACCTCCAACTTCCAGCCTCTGGAACTGTGGGGAAATGAACCTCTGTTGTTTAAGCCACTCATATGGGGCATTCTGTTACGCAGCCTCAGCTGACTCATACAAGGGCCCATCCTACTCCAGAATGACTCCAGGATGACCACATCCTAACTATTACATCTGCAGTGACCCTATCTTTAAATGAGGTCACATTTGGAGACACTGGTGATTTGGACTTTGAGATATAAATTTTGGGGGACATGATTCAACCTGTAACCTAGTGTTTCTGGGCCCTGGCCCTGGCATCCCCATCCCAAGCAATGTCTGGGAATACTGACTTGCCCTGGACTTCCTGCAGAGGGTCATTTTTCACACTTGTCATCCTCAGTCCCTGGCATGGCTCAACCCCACCTTCTCCTGCCCTCCCTACTGGTTCCACACACAGACCTGCCTTGTATGAGCTACTTATTGCTACTTACCAACTACCCAAAACTTAGGCTTAAAACAACCACCATCTTCTTTGCTCTCACTCCTGTGGTCTGACCATCTGGTCTGGGCTCAGCCATGGTCCTTACACTGGGGCACGTTGTGTGGCTAAAGTCATCTAGGGATGTCTTCAGCTGAGGCTTGAGCAGAACTCAGCAAACTGCAAACCCGTCTACCATCTGTTTGTGTAAATAAAGTTTTATTGGCACACAGCCAGGCTCATACAGTTATGTGTTGCCAGTGACTGCTTCATGCTGCAACAGCAGTTGATGAGGTGAGACAGAAACTGCATGTGGCCACACAAAGCCTAAAATATCTATTATCTTGCTCTTTATACAAAAGCTTGCTGAGCCCTGGTCTCAGGCTGTGTCACTCCCTCGCTCGGTGGCCAACGGTCACCCAGAGGGACTCATCCTCACAAGGCCTGCCCAGGATTCCTCATGGGGGCTGGGGTGCTCTCGGGGTTCCAATAGCTCACAAAATGTCAGTCCAAAATTCAAAGGGTGGGGATATGGGTCCCCCCTTGACAGGAGAGTCACAGCACATCACCAAGGACCACACATACAGGGGTGGGAGGAGCCATTGCCACCTTCCTTGCAAATGTCATTCATGTGTCTTCCTTTGAATGGGCCAAGCACAGCTAAGTCAAGGCCATGATGCTTGACAGAGCCTGACTGACCGCTTGGGGAAGCAGAGAATCAGAACACAGAGCAACCTCCCTATGGCCAGTTGTGTTCTTAGGGCTCAGGGCTCCCACACAGGGACCCACACGTGTTCCCAGGTTCCTCCCATCCAACCAGTAGCTCCTGCCTCCCACACCTCTGTGCCCCAGGCTCTTGCTACTAGAACTGAGGACTACACTTCCCACAGTGACCCCAGCAGGGCCCAGAGCCATTCACCCCACAGCTGCACACAGCACAGCTCAGCAAACGAATACTGGGCTCCACCTGGGGCAGAACAGAGGCGAAGTCCAGGGAGGGCTAGACATGAGGGCCCTCTATGCCCCCATATAGTAGTAATCCCCTCTGTCTGTCTATTGCATCAGCATCGTTCTCTCTGATCACAGAAAATTCCACTAATTTGGTAAAGAAAGACAGACAGCCAGGACCCCAAGGCCATCTTTTTATGGCTTGCTTTCCTTGAGAAAGATACAGACCTTGCATAGAGTTGGCTAGGGCTGCCAGAGCACTACACACTAGGGGCCGCAGATGTCTCTTGTCTCACAGTTCTGGGGGAAGGAAGTCCAGGATGAAACTGCGGCCAGGGATGTCTGCTTCTGAGATAGCGTCTGTTCCAAGTCCCCCTCCTGGCTCCTGCTATTTGCTGCCAATCTTTGGAGTTCCTTATCTTGTAGGCTGTCACCCTGATCTCCACCTTCATGACCACTTGGGGTTCCCCCATGTGTGTGTCTGTGTCCAAATGTCCCCTTTTTATAAGGACACCAGTCATATTGCATTAGAGAGACCCACCCTACTCCAGTGCAACCTCATCTTAAATAATTACATCTGCAACAACTCTAGCTCCGAACAAGTTCACATTCTGAAGTACTGGGAGTTAGGGCTGTAACTCCCAGTACAGTTAGAGTTAGAACATATCTCTTCTTGGTGGGGGCACTTTTCAACAGTAACGCACTGTGTCTTGGAAGCTAAGTGGTAGGATGGGCCCAGCCTGTGCTGCATGGTCCACCCCACTGTGCCCCAGATGGGGGAGGGGCGGGACCTAGGGCCACATCTTGTCAATATGGAGCAGGGAAGTTCCCAGACATTGGGATCCTGGGCTCCCTACACAAGAGTGAAGAGGGAAGTCAGGGGGGACAGGAGGAGAGCGGGAGGGGAGGGATAGAAGGCCGGCAGGCTCCGAGGGCCAGCACACACTCTCACAGCTCACAGCAACACTGCTGTCTCCGGCTGCATCTTAACAGAAAACTGAGGCTCAGAGAGACACATTTTGAGTGAGAGGCTGGGCCAGGACAGGAACTCAGGCCTGCATGACTCCAAATCACTTCAAGAAGGAGGTGGGCTTTCTACCTATCCTTTGAAATTCCTCTCCTGCACCTCCCTGGACTGTGCCACTTCTGAATAAAAAGCCATCATTTTATGAGGCAAAGAAAATGCTACGGTTCTGGGAAGGAAAATATTCTTATGTGGAAAAGAGGGGTCAAGGCTTGGGACCCTCTGACAACTAGGTCATGGCTGATTCCGACATAAGAGAAGGAGGTTTTTAAGATTCTAGAACAGGGGTTGGCAAGCCGCACTCTAGAGTCAAATCCCACTGCTGTCTGTCTCTGTGCAAGCTGGGAACTGTATTTGCATTTTTAAAGGGTTGTAAGAGACAAGAATTCAAACAAATAATTGCGGCAGAGACCACGTGTGGCCTGTAAAGCCTAAAACATTTACTATCCGGCCCTTCACAAGAAAAAGCCAGAGCAATATGGAAAGCGGGGCTGGGAGTGCACGGGCGGAGTGGGGAAGGGAGTCCACGGGCCGGACTGGGGCTGGGAGTGCACGGGTGGGAGTGGGGCTGGGAGTGCATGGGCCAGAATGGGGAAGGGAGTGCAAGGGCTGGAGTGGGGAAGAGAGTCCATAGTCCAGAGTGGGGAAGGGAGTGCACAGGCCGGAGTGGAGAAGGGAGTCCACCGGCTGGAGCAGCGCTGGGCATCCATGGGCCAGTGGGGAAGGGAGTGCATGGGCCTGAGTGGGGAAGGGAGTCTATGGGCCGGAGTGGGGAAGGGAGTCCACAGGCCGGAGTGGGACTGGGAGTGCATGAGCTGCAGTGGGGAGGGAGTACATGGGCCGGAGTGGGGAAGAGGGTACACGGGCTGGAGTAGGGAAGGAAGTCCAGAGTGGGGAGTGGGGAAGGGAGTGCACAGGCCAGAGTGGGGCTGGGAGTGCATGGGCCAGAGTAGGGAAGGGAGTGCACAGGCTGGAGTGGGGCTGGGAGTCCACAGGCCGGAGTGGGGAAGGGAATGCACGGGCCGGAGTGGTGAGGGGAGTCCATGGGCCGGAGTGGGGAAGGGAGTGCACAGGCAGAGTGGGGCTGGGGGCAGCCCAGGGCCTGCCTGACTCTTCCTCAGAGCCCGTGGCTGGCACTGCCTGGGGCAGCAGGGGCTGAGTGCCCCCTCAGCAGGACCAGCGAGCCCTCAGGAAGGCATGAGAACATGTGCTCCTGGAAGCCACAGAAACATCCAGGAGATGGAGACCTTTGCAAGCTAAGCAGGCCAGGTTACTTTGACCTTGAGGGCAATGGAGGTATATTTTACCAGAGGTGGAAGTCCTGGGAGCCCCACTGTGAATCCTCTGGGTTCCATCCATTCTCCTTCTCTGGGTAGCAGCAAACCCATTAAGTCAAACACTGCAAGCAGCACCACAAGCCCAAATATAAGAGAGGGTGAACAGGGCCTGCCTGTGCCCTGGGGGCTGGGCCGCATTGCTTCTACATCCCTACTTCTATGCCTTGTGGTGTTCATGTCCCTCCAAAGATGTCTATACATTTCCCAAGAAGCAATAGGTAGCTAGTCAGACATGAGCAGGGCAGGAGAGGGCCTCACACCCCAGAATGTCAGGCCACCATCAGGTGATGATCAGGTGGTTGTTACACTGTCTTTCCAAAATAATAATTGGTTGCAGCCATCACCAGGGAAAGGCGGTCTCCCAATAGATAGAAAAAACCTGAAACTGGTGATCAGCAACTTCGCGATAAGATCTCAGGAGTTGGGCGAGTGGGCTCAAGCATACACACTAAGAGGCAAAATGGCAGAGTTGAACTGCTTTATGACCTTCCAGGGAGATGTGACTGGGAAGGGAAGAATGCCTCAAGTGAGCATGTGCACAATTTCAGTAAACACACTGCGCACCCCGGAGTGCGGGCAGGTCACTGTGCATGCAGACAGCCTACCCCAAGGGAAGACTCAGGGGAGAAGAGACACAACCCCCTGGAAGCCTGCCAACATATAAATTTCAAGTCAATGGTCAAACCACATACTTGATCTCTCAAGTTGCCCACTTGGCCCTCTTCCAAGTGTACTTTACCTCCTTTCATTCCTGCTCTAAAACTTTCTTAATAAACTTTCACTCCTGCTTAAAAACTTGCCTGGGTGTCTCTCACTATGTCTTCTGTCCCTCGGTCGGATTCTTCTGAGGAGACTAGAACTGGGGTTGCTGCAAACCCGTACAGATTTGCCGCCACTAACATACGTTGGTGACTCACATACATTCTGCTGCTAACAATAACATCTTTCCGGTCACCTTGTTTTCTGAGCTCCTGATTCCATGCTGGCTCTCTGTGTTCTACACGACACCAACCTGGACCCATGGGAAAACAGCTCCTCTTCCTGGACGCCTCCACCCAGCTGCCTGTCCGCTCTCACCCTGCCCACTCTCTTCTTGCACTTGGTCCTTTCCCCCCAACTCCTCCCATGTTTTCATGCTATGCAACTTTGCGACAACCTCACTCTGAGGACTCACCTCATACATGCCTTTAACCTACATGAGTTGAACTATAGTAATTTCCAAAATATGAGGGAGGAAAATATGTATTGGTTTAAATTGTGTGGGATAATTCTTCCCCTCATTCCCTTCCATATGCCCAGGGATTAGCCTGGGGGTAGGAGATTAAAATTTGCTACTTCATTTCTTGACTCCTGTTATGGTAGCACTAGTTTCTAGCTTCCTTTACATTGATCCTAATGTTGATGGGTAGGTATTTGTGATACAAAGTTAGCTGCCTCTGAATGCAAGCCAACTACTCATCTGACCTAAGGGGAAGGGTGATGTATCTGTGATGGACGTGCAGGGGGATAAAACGTCAGTGTTGGCCGACACGTGGCATACTGTGCTCTAGGGACGATTTAAGAAAATCTTCAAAAGTAATTTTAGTTAACTGGGATTTCACCTTCTGAGCTGGTTTTAGAATTCAACTCTCTTTTAAGACATGGCTCTACTTACTTATTTTTTTTATTTAGTAGACTTTATTTTTTGAGCAGTTTTAGGTTCACAGCAAAATCAAGTAGAAAGTAGAGATTTCACACCAGAGTGGTCCCTGTTTTAGCTGATGAACAGACACTGATATCATTATCACCTGGAGTCCACAGTTTAAATTAGGGTTCACTCCTAGTGGTGTACATTCTGTGGGTTTTGACAAACGTATCCACCATTGTAGTATGACACAGAATAGCATCACTGCCCTAAAAATCCTCTGTGTTCTGCCTGTTCATCCCTCCCTCTCCCATAACCACTGGAAACCACTGATCTGTTTCCTGTCTCCATAGTTTTGCTTTTTCCAGATTGTCACAGAGTTGGAATCATCCAGTATGTAGCCTTTTCAGATTCACTTAGTAACAAGCATTTAAATTTCTTCCATGTCTTTTTATGCTTGATAGCTCATTTCTTTTTAGTGCTGAATGATATTCCATCGTCTCGATGTACCACAGTTTATCCATTCACCTACTGAAGGACATGTTGGTTGCTTCCAAGTTTTGGCATTATGAGTAAAGGTGCTATCAATATCTGCATGCAGGTTTTTGTGTGGACATAAGTTTTCAATTCATTTGGGTAAATACCAAGTAGCAAAATTGCTGGATCATATAAGAATATGTTTAGTTTTGTAAGAAATTGACGAGTTGTCTTCCAAGGTAGCTGTGCCATTTGGCCTTCCCACCAGCAATGACTGAGAGTTGCTCCACATCATTGCCAGCATTTGATATTGTCAGTGTTTTGGGTTTGGCTATTCTAACAGGCATGTGGAGGTAGCTCGTTGCTGTTTTCCCTGATGACATATGATGTTGAGTATCTTTTCATATGCATATTTGCCATCTCTAAATCTTCTTTGGCAAAATGTCTGTTCAGATCTTTTGAACATTTTTGAATCAAGGTGTTCATTTTCTTATTGTTGCATTTTAAGAGTTGTTTTGTTGTGTTTTTAGTGATTTATCTGATCACAATTAAACCCTCACCTTTAACACTACGGGCATATCAAGGCTTTTTTTCAAACAAAGTTATTTCTCTCCTTGGGAGCATTTCTAGTCCCAGCTTACAAGACAATAATCTTTTCCTGTGGCCTGCCAGAGGCATGATCAACAGTCAAGCCCACTGGCTCGGGGTGGGGTGCAGGGGAGGGGGAACTGGAGGAAGAGTAGGACTCCATATGAGAGGGAGTACGGAGCGACAGCAGACCAGGGACACAGATCAGGAGAAGCCTGGGGAGGCACAGAATGATCTGGCAGGCAAAGTGGTTCAAGATGAGTGGAGGTGGCGGGTGGGGAAGCTGGCCAGGCTGGAGCAGGGGGATCAGTGTAGACCAGGCTTAAGCATACTTTGGGCTTTATCCAAGGATCGCACCTTCCTAGAGGGGCCAAGGAGGTAACATAAATGGGTGAAGCAAGTAAGGTGTGAGGTGATAGGGAGTGCTGAAGACTCTGACAAACTGGAGATCACATGACCACTTTGGAGGGGCAGGACAGGGTGAACATATCTGCTATGATTGGTGGCTGCCCTGCAGGAACAGGGCCTCAATTTTTCAAAAGAGGCTGAACATGTGGATTTGTAAAATCTTCTGGCTTTAAATGCCGGCTCTGACTCTTTTAACACAACATGCCAGCCCAACAAAATGTAGCCATGAATGAAATTGACAGCAAGGCTGTCATATGCTTCTCATGTACATATATGTGAATGCCAGTGCACCTGCACAAGGGCCTGTGCAAACTCATGTGTATCTGTATAAATGCACATGCAGTACAGCCCTGAATGCACACACATACACACATACAGAGATAAGAGTGCTTTCCTGTGCACATGTGTTTGAGTTCACCTGGCTACACATGTACACAAGTATTGCACATACAGATGCACACACGAGCACACTGGTATTGCATACATGCGTGCAGCATTGTACGGGAACCCTCCAGCAGTAGCCTAAGAAGATGTCCCCTGGTGTCCCCAGACTGCCCTGTGGATGCTGGGCCCTTCTCTCTCAGCAGTCTTGGGGGAAGCCAGAGCTGCCCTCTGGGGCCACTTCACTTGGCCTTTCCCAACTCAGCTGGAAGCAGAGTTCAGAGCAGGAGGATCACTAGTAAAATCTAGGATGCTGATCAAACTACACTTCAGGCTGCCTCTAGCCAGCTGCCTGATTTAGCAGGGGAAGGGTGGTCCTGAGCTTCCCTGGCTTCACAACACCCTCAGCTGCAGGGTCAGAACCCTCTGGAATTCTTCTATTTGATCCTCAGTCCCGGAAAGGTGGCAGGAGGGCATGGTAAGCTTCATAGCAAGGAAGGTGAGGAAGCTGGAGCTGGCGGGGACTTGATCCACACAGGTGACACAGCCAGGAAGGGTATCAGCTGGTGGCCCAGGCTCTGTCTCTGTCCTCACATCTGGCTACACAGGCACAGGTGTAGCATGTGTACTACACATGTGATCTCCAGTTTGATGTCTTCTGCAGAGTGCTCTCAACCCTGGAGACGGCAGAACCAAGTCTCTCTACACCCTTTCCCAGCAAGGGGCCAGGGCCACAGAGGAAGAATCGCCCCTGAACTCTCAGAATCCTAAAGCTTCAATGGGTAAGAGCCCTTGTCAAATATGTCATTGACAAATGAGGAAACTGAGTCCCCAGGGCCAGAGCCATGCTCTAGTGGCCATGCCTGCTGTGGGGAGGAGGTGGGGCTGAGCCCCTGCAAAGGCTGTGGCTCCTGCTCCAGGCAGAGCTCTGCCCAGCACCACTGAGTGCCTGGTTCCATCTGCAGCAGTGCTACAGGAGGTATAGGGACCACACATGCATGCAGTCCAGAGCACCAGCAGGACACGTTGTGTGGCCCGCAGCCAGGTCAGTGGTCATTCACTGCCCCATGCCCCTCATGACCTCTGTGAAGATGGACAGAACCCTGGAGGCCCCCTGTGCATGGTGGGATGGTGGGAGTGCAGTGTCCACTAGTGGACATGTCCACAGTCCACAGCCAGGCCACAGACTTGGTGCCTTCCTTCTTTGACTCGACATCCTATTCCTTGAATTGCTGGGTGTCCCCGCTGGATGTCTGGGTGGGCAATTGTGGGTCGCTGGGCCCTGAGTGTGCCGTATGTGTGTCGGCTCCGGGGTGGCACTGCTGCAGGCGGTCCTTGCACCTTGCCAAAGCACCCAGGCAGGTTTTAACATAGAGTTTTACAGAAGTCAGATGCCCACATGATGACCAATTCATCTACACCGAAGAGCAAATGCAGGCAAGTGACAGCCCCTCCACCTCCAGGTTCTGGCAGCTGCTTGGAGCTGTTTTGATTTTCATCCTTGCATTCTGTCCATCACTGTAGCTGAAATGTGGAAGAACCTGTGTCCCTGGTCACCGATTTTAGACTGTATCTCTTGCTTCCCAGTTACAAAAGCTGAGGCTTCAGGGACTTGGTGTTTTTCCCACCTCTATGTATGTGATTTACATGTTTGTTTTCATTCTTCTACCTGGATAAATTTCTTACTGCAGCTGTAACAATGACCACAAACTTGGGAACTTAAAACAACACTTGGTTATTTTCTTACAGTTCTGGAAATCAGAAGTCCCAGAATGAAGGTGCCATCGGTGGCGCTGGTTCCTCCTGGAGGCTCTAAGGGAAACTCCGTCTCCTGTGCTTCCCCAGCTTCCAGAGGTGACCTGCATTCCCCAGCTCCTTGCCCCCTCTTCCATCCTCAGAGCCACAGCTTGGCATCCTCCAGTCTCTGTCTCTGACCTCTTCTTCGGTCCTCGTTCCTCCTACTGCCCCTCGCATAAGGACCCTTGTGATTACGCTGGATCCACCAGATAACCCAGGATCCTCCCCCCATCTCCAGACCCTTAACTTAATCACATCCACGAAGGAAGTCCCTGCTGCCTTGTAAAGTAACATCTTCCCAGGTTCTGGGGATTCATATGTGGACAGCTTTGAGGAGCCACTCAATTGTGAAGGTCCACCATAGTACCTTCATAACTTCAAATCATAGGTTTAAACCTCTGTATCTTATCCCATCCATTTCAGTGTAGCTCTTGCCTGCCCACGCCATTTGCTTGATAAATATTTGTTCTGGGAGCTAGGTTTGCACAACTGATCAAGCCAGGCAAAGCCTTATTTTCCCAAAGCCTATATTCCAGTGGGGAAAGACAGGCAATACATGGGATAAATGAATAAATGATATTCTCAGCACAATTGCTTTTTGGAGGATAACTTGGTAAAATTTATGAAAATTTAAATTGTGCCTGTTCTCTGACTCTGCAAGCCTGCTGTTAAAAATTCATATATAATGATATGTGTACAAGCCTGTTCTTTTTTTTTTTTTAATGAAATAATTTTTATTTGCTGTGATTATACATATTGACATTTGCACACTTTTTAAAACTTTTTATTTGGAAAAAATTTAAATTTTATAGATAAGTTGCAAATATAAAAAGAGTGTAAAGAATACCCATACACCCTTTTCCCAGAAAGACTTATTGTTAGCATTTCACACAATTGGCTTTTTGGTTTCTTTCTTTCCCCACCCACCTCACCCCATGGTTCTCTCTCTCCATACATGTTACATACACATAATTATATACTTAATTTTTTTCTTAGTAAATTGAAGGTGTCACATACATGATGGCCCTTTACTCCAAACATCAGTGCATATTTCCTAAGAATGTAGATATTCTCTTACTTAGCCCCAGTAGTTATATATATATATATATATATATATATATATAACATATATATGTTATATATATATATAACATATATATGTTATATATATATATAACATATATATATATAACTACTATATAACATATATATATAAATATGTATGTTAATTTTACTTTAAGTTCTGGGGTACATGTGCAGAACGTGCAGGTTTGTTGCATAGCTATACGTGTGCCATGATGGTTTGCTCCACCTATTAACCCATCAACTAGGTTCCCTCCCCTGGCCCCCCACCCCCCAACAGGCACTGGTGTGTTGTTCCCCTCCCTGTGTCCATGTGTTCTCACTGTTCAACTCCCACTTATGAGTGAGAACATCATATTTTGGGTACCATTATAAACTGTAAGTCACGCCTGATAATCTCATGTCTGAATACCCAAATATGTGATGTTTGGTTTTCTGTTCCTGTGTTAGTTTGCTGAGGATGATGGCTTCCAGCTTCTCCATGTTCCTGCAAAGGACATGATCTCATTCCTTTTTATGGCTGCACAGTATTCCATGGTGTATATGTGCAACATTTTCTTTATCCAGTTTATCATTGATGGGCATTTGGGTTGGCTCCATGTCTTTGCTATTGTAAATAGTCCTGCAATAAACATATGTGTGCATGTGTCTTTATAGTAGAGTGATTTGTAATCCTTTGGGTATATACCCAGTAATGGGATTGCTGGGTCAGATGATATTTCTGATTCTAGATCCTTGAGGAATCACCACACTGTCTTCAGCAATGGTTGAACTAATTTACACTCCCACCAACAGTGTAAAAGTGTTCCTGTTTCTCCACCACCTCACCAGCATCTATTGTTTCTTGACTTTTTAATAATCGCCATTCTGACTGGCATGAAATGGTATCTCATTGTGGTTTTGATTTGCATTTCTCCAACTTCAATATATTTAACATTGATAGAATACTTTTTTCTTATCTACCTTTCATACATCAGTATTGTCATTTGATCCAGTAATGTTCTTTATAGCATTTTCCTCTGTGGTACAGGATCCAGTCTGTCATCAGGTATAGCATTTAAGTGCCATGTCTCTTTACCCACTTTCAATAGGGAATACTTCTACAACCTTTCTTTTTATTTTCTGACATTGACTTTTTTTTCTGACATTGACATTTTGGAAGAATGGATTACTGCCACACCCGCCCCCAACTTTTTTTTAATGAAACATTTCCTGTTTGGGGTTTTTTAGATAGCCTTTCGTGATCACTTTCAAGTTATGCATTCTTCTTTGGAATGTTGCATAGGAGATGTTGTGTCCTTCTCAGGCTATCACATCTGAAAGCATATCATGTCCATCTGTCCTTCATTGGTGATGTTAACTTTTTTTTTTTTCATTGATCTTTTTGCTTTTAATTTTTTTTTTTTTCGCTCTTTTTTTTTTTTTTTATTATACTCTAAGTTTTAGGGTACATGTGCACATTGTGCAGGTTAGTTACATATGTATACATGTGCCATGCTGGTGCGCTGCACCCACTAATGTGTCATCTAGCATTAGGTATATCTCCCAATGCTATCCCTCCCCCCTCCCCCGACCCCACCATAGTCCCCAGAGTGTGATATTCCCCTTCCTGTGTCCATGTGATCTCATTGTTCAATTCCCACCTATGAGTGAGAATATGCGGTGTTTGGTTTTTTGTACTTGCGATAGTTTACTGAGAATGATGGTTTCCAATTTCATCCATGTCCCTACAAAGGATATGAACTCATCATTTTTTATGGCTGCATAGTATTCCATGGTGTATATGTGCCACATTTTCTTAATCCAGTCTATCATTGTTGGACATTTGGGTTGGTTCCAAGTCTTTGCTATTGTGAATAGTGCCACAATAAACATACGTGTGCATGTGTCTTTATAGCAGCATGATTTATACTCATTTGGGTATATACCCAGTAATGGGATGGCTGGGTCAAATGGTATTTCTAGTTCTAGATCCCTGAGGAATCGCCACACTGACTTCCACAATGGTTGAACTAGTTTACAGTCCCACCAACAGTGTAAAAGTGTTCCTATTTCTCCGCATCCTCTCCAGCACCTGTTGTTTCCTGACTTTTTAATGATTGCCATTCTAACTGGTGTGAGATGATATCTCATAGTGGTTTTGATTTGCATTTCTCTGATGGCCAGTGATGATGAGCATTTCTTCATGTGTTTTTTGGCTGCATAAATGTCTTCTTTTGAGAAGTGTCTGTTCATGTCCTTCGCCCACTTTTTGATGGGGTTGTTTGTTTTTTTCTTGTAAATTTGTTTGAGTTCATTGTAGATTCTGGATATTAGCCCTTTGTCAGATGAGTAGGTTGCGAAAATTTTCTCCCATTTTGTAGGTTGCCTGTTCACTCTGATGGTAGTTTCTTTTGCTGTGCAGAAGCTCTTTAGTTTAATTAGATCCCATTTGTCAATTTTGTCTTTTGTTGCCATTGCTTTTGGTGTTTTGGACATGAAGTCCTTGCCCACGCCTATGTCCTGAATGGTAATGCCTAGGTTTTCTTCCAGGGTTTTTATGGTTTTAGGTTTAACGTTTAAATCTTTAATCCATCTTGAATTGATTTTTGTATAAGGTGTAAGGAAGGGATCCAGTTTCAGCTTTCTACATATGGCTAGCCAGTTTTCCCAGCACCATTTATTAAATAGGGAATCCTTTCCCCATTGCTTGTTTTTCTCAGGTTTGTCAAAGATCAGATAGTTGTAGATATGCGGCATTATTTCTGAGGGCTCTGTTCTGTTCCATTGATCTATATCTCTGTTTTGGTACCAGTACCATGCTGTTTTGGTTACTGTAGCCTTGTAGTATAGTTTGAAGTCAGGTAGTGTGATGCCTCCAGCTTTGTTCTTTTGGCTTAGGATTGACTTGGCAATGCGGGCTCTTTTTTGGTTCCATATGAACTTTAAAGTAGTTTTTTCCAATTCTGTGAAGAAAGTCATTGGTAGCTTGATGGGGATGGCATTGAATCTGTAAATTACCTTGGGCAGTATAAGCCTGTTCTTTATGGCATAATTTATAACAGCAAATGTTTGAGAACAAAAATATATTGAAGGAGAATTGGGAAAATAAATTGTGGTGCCCAGAAACTAGAATTTATAGATGAATATGATGATACAGGTTGTAGCTGCTGGGTTTACAGCACTGTTTATAAAACAGGCAGAACCTGCCCTCATGGAGCACGTTGGAGTGCAGAAAGACAGATCGCACACCCTGAACGAATCTGTGCTTTAGGCTGTGCCTAGGAGGCAGGAAGGGCTAGGGAGAGAAGCAAAGCTGGGGAGAGAGCTGAGGAGTGCTGGCAGAGGTGGCTTTTGTTTGTTTTTAACTGTTGTTGTATTTACCTCAAAAATTTTAAGTTATTAGTTTAAATCAATTAATTATTAACTAGAGTTTAATTTTAAATTATTTTAATAATTTTAATTAAGTCGATTAATATTGATTGAATAACTTATAGTTGATTTAACTATAATTAATAAATAAATTTTTAATTTTCAAATTTTAGATTTACAAGCATTGCGGATAGTGCAAACATTCTTGAATACCCCTCCCTAGCCTCCCCGACACATCACATAGCCAGGGTACATTCATCAAAACTAGGAAATGAAGATGGGTGCAGGACTGCTGGCTCAACTCCAGGCTTGAACGGGCTTTCTCCAGTTTTTCCACAGAGGTGCCTTGCCGGTCCTAGGACATCGTTCAGGATTCTTCACTGCATTCTGTGGTCACATCTCATGGTCTCCTCCACTCTGCAACAGCTCCTTAGTCTTTCTTTGTCTTTTGTGCCCTTGACACTTCTGGGATGGAGTGGGGCTGGAGCTAAGTGAGAAGTATAGCAGGCAGTGAGGTCTGGGTGGGAAGCGTGGGGCAGACTCCTGTGGGACCTCATAGAGGTTTTCACTTTTCCTCCGAGGCAAACAGGGAGCCCCCAGGAAGCTCCTGAACAGAGGCAGGACATGATCAGACCGACTTTAACTGGGCCCTTCTGGCTGCTGTCCCTCAGGGAGCTGGAAGGGGTGAGGCCAGGTTGGGATGTCTGTGGATGATTCTGCAGTAGTCTAGGCAAGAGATCATGGGTGCTGTGGGCCACAGTGGGTGAGGAGCAGGGTCAAACTCCAGGTGTATTTTCAGGACAAAGCAGAAGACACTTAGGATTTTGACCCGCCTTGCTGTTGAGGTCTGCAGTCTTCCCCCAGCCTCCCCATCTCCTGTGCTGCTGGGGGCATTGTTGTCAAGGATGCTGACACCTGCATTCCAGACTTCATACATAGGATGATTCCAGAAACTGAAGCCTGCATGTCATGTTTACATAATGTAAATTTTATGCGAGTTTGACCATTTCATTGCCAAATGAAAGAGCTAGTTTCTGGTTACCATAATTTATCTACTCGATTCTTCATTGGAAAATGTTTAGATTGTTCACAAATGTTTGCTGTCATAATGCTAAAAGAACAGACTTGTATATATACTTTTATATGTGGATTTTTAATATGATGGGTTTGCTAGGTCAAAGAAAGATTGCAGTCTTTTTCCATAAGTTATTGGGGTACAGGTGGTATTTGGTTGCATGTGTAAGTTCTTTAGTGGTGATTTGTGAGATTTTGGTGCACCCATCACCCGACCAGTATACCCTGCACCATATCTGTAATCTTTTATACCTTGCCCCCCTCTTACTCTTCCCCCCAAGTCCCCAAAGTCCATTGTATCATTCTTATGCCTTTGTATCCTCATAGCTTAGCTCTCACATATCAGTGAGAACATATGATGTTTGGTTTTCCATTCCTGAGTTACTTCACTTAGAATAATAGTCTCCAATCTCATTTAGGTCACTGCAAATGCTGTTAATTCATTCCTTTTTATGGCTGAGTAGTATTCCATCATATATATATATACCACAGTTTCTTTATCCACTCGTTGACTGATGGGCTTTTGGGTTGGTTCTACAATTTGCAATTGTGAATTGTGCTGCTATAAACATGCGTGGGCCAGTATCTTTTTCAAATAATGACTTCTTTTCCTCTGGGTAGATACCTAGTAGTGGCATTGCTGGATCAAATGGTTGTTCCACTTTTAGTTCTTTAAGGAATCTCCACACTGATTTCCATAGTGGCTGTACTAGTTTACATTCCCACCAGCAGCGTAGAAGTGTTCCCTGTTCACCACATCCAAGCCAACATCTACTGTTTTTTGATTTTTTTATTATGGCCAAAAGAATGATTAAGTTTTGATGAAGTTTGCCAAATTATCCTCCAAAAAAAAATTGTACTACAATCAACAGTAATGAGAGTAACTCTTTCCCCCATGCTTGGATATAATCTTTTACATTTTTGCAATGTAGTCAACCTCCACAGGATATATTGTTTTTTTATTTCATTTTTCTGCATATTTACAAAGTTAGATATCTTCTCATGTGCCTACTTGCCATTTGCATGTCTTTTACTGTAAGTTGCTAGTTTATATCTATTGCCCATTTTTCTATTGGGATTTTTATGTTTTACTCACTAATTTGTAGAACAGTTTTGTGCATTCCAGATATATTCGGATTGTTGACTCATATATTTCTATCCATGTCTCATATTTATCTTCTAACTTCACTCATAGGGTGTCTGTTCTTAAACAGGAGTTTAAATGGTAGTGTCAAGCATGTCTATCTTTTCCATAATGGCACCTGCATCTTGCTATTTCTTGTACCTTTATAATTGTGTGTTTGTGGTTGGCTCTTTTACCCACTTGGAGTGGATTTTCTGTGTATGGTGTGAGAAGAACCTCCATCTTTCCTCTCTTATCATATAAGTAACCTTGTATTGATAACTTATATTAAATAGCCATATGTACTTGAGTTATTTTCTAGAATCTGTATGTTGCCTCATGTCTTCTTTGCCTTTATCTGTTATAACACCACATTAAAAAAATGTTTAACCTCAGCTGGGTGTGGTGGTGTGTGCCTGGAGTCCCAGCTACTCAGGAAGCTGAGGTGTGGCAAATCGCTTGAGCCTGGGAGTTTGAAGCTGCAGTGAGCTATGATCCCATCTCTGCACTCCAGCCTGGGCAGCAGAGCAAGAACCTGTCTCAAATAGAATTAATAAAATAAATTAAATAATAAAACAAAACCAAACAATTTAAACCTCTATAGGATGTTTCAGTAATTTGTCAGGCAATCTCCCCACCTCTACCACCATTGTCGTGTCATATTGGGTTGCATCTTATACATTTTCTCCTCCAGATAAATTTTGGAATCAAGTCCCATTTTTTAAAATCCTCTTTGGATTTGTACTGGAATTGCAATGAATTATAGATCAATATGACAGAAATTGGGATCTTTACAATACTGAGTCTCCCCATACAGAAAAAAAAAAAAAAAAGGTAAGCAATTCCAGTTAGGTCTTCTTTATGTTTTCCATTAAAGTTTCAGCATATTATTACACTTTTTTTTTTTTTTTACCAATTTCCTGCCATGTTGCTTGTGATTTTTCTTCCTGTCATAAAAGTTATGAACTCTACTTACTGTTGCAGTTTTTAGTTGATTTTGATTGTGTTAGTGCCCTCAGTGATGGCCCCTCATTCATCCACACCCTCTGCTGTATGTTCTCACTGGGCTTGGCCGTATGACTTGTTCTGCCCAGTGGGTCAGAGCAGACAGGATGCAAGCCGAGGTCTGAAATGAGCTTGCAAGGTGGGCCTTGCTATCTTGCAGCCATGGGCTATACCCCAGCTGGCCTGCTGGCCCAAGGCGAAATGTGAGCAACATGGAGCAGAGCCCCAGCCAGCCCAGCCTGAGTCACAGCAGAATCCCTCGTTCCCCACAGACACAGGAGCAAGATTAACTCAGGTCAGCAGACTCCCAGCCAACCCACAGGATCATAGCTCTAGTACTAAATCAGGACTGTTTCAGAGCACTGAGCTTTGAGGTGGGCTGTCAATTACACAGTAATTGCTGACTGAAACATTGACATGCAATCAGTCCATGTATTTCTGTGGGTTTATCTTGTGTCTGGCCATTGATTGAACAGTTTTATTAATTCTGGCAGATTTTCAATTGATCATTTTCGGCCCTTCCGGACAGATAATTACATCATATGCGATAAAAGTCATCTTGTCCCTTCCTTTCCTATCCTTTCAGTCTTTTTTTTTTCTTGTCATATTACATTGGCAAGGACTTTGCAAATAATAAGTTGTGTTTGTTTTTGTGGGTCTTCTGGGTGCATGCTGCTATTTGTGAATATAAGTGTGTCCTATTCACCCTTTGCCTTGAGAGACTTAACAAGACATTTCTTCTTGATGAATACAGTGCTCTTCCCTGTGTCTCATTATTTCTTGTACTTTTAGCATTGTGTGTTTATGGTTGCTTCTTTAACCTACCTGGAGTGAATTTTCTGTGCATGATGTGACGATGTTAGGAAAAGCTCTATCTTTTCTCTTTTGTCATGTGAATAACCAGTGTCTCCAGAAGCCTGAGAATGTCTATGTCTCCAGTGTCTCTGAAAGAATGAGAACATCTCTCTGGATATGACAAATTTGTCCAGAATCCCTCTCATAAGGGCAGCAGAGGATGGGGGAGCCTCATGGGTACCCAGGCAGCAGAAGCTGGAAGTGAACTGACATGAATGGGGCTTGAGGATGCAATCTGCCCCTATCCTCAGGAGTCTGAGGGCAGCACAGAGGCAGGGTAGTGGGGAAGGAAAACATCAGGCACATAAGATGCCCCTCACACTCAACTCCCTGGTCACAAACTAGAGAGTCACCAGCCCCCATCATGAGCCCCTCTTCTGGATGCAGGGCCTGCCCTTCTGTGGAGGTCTTAGGAGTGATGGCATAAGAGGACAGAGACCTAGGTATAAGTCGCAGGCATCTGGTATTGAACAGAGCACTCCAGTGATTAGCTTCCTCTCTGGGAATACAAACCAAACCCAGGAAATGTGCACAGCCTTGTAAAACCACTACAATTTCAGATTGGGTTTATCTGGTTTATTGCTTGATATGCAATTAGAAGTGTCTTGAACACATCAGCTTTCAGTTCTTCCCACGGTTGAGTATTTAATGACCTGTGAATGAACCCTGAGAAGATGCAACTTCAACTGAGCCCTGCAACCCTTTTGTAAGGGAATGTGTTCACCCTCCAAAAACCTACTTGCAAGTAATATGTTAAGGCACAGATGCTAGAAAGCATTTGATTTAATAAAATGTCTAGTGGGGGGGAGGAGCCAAGATGGCCGAATAGGAACAGCTCCGGTCTACAGCTCCCAGCGTGAGCGACGCAGAAGACGGGTGATTTCTGCATTTCCATCTGAGGTACCGGGTTTATCTCACTAGGGAGTGCCAGACAGTGGGCGCAGGCCAGTGGGTGCATGCACTGTGTGCAAGCCGAAGCAGGGCGAGGCATTGCCTCACTTGGGAAGCGCAAGGGGTCAGGGAGTTCCCTTTCCGAGTCAAAGAAAGGGGTGACGGATGCACCTGGAAAATCGGGTGAACCATGAGATTATATCCCACACCTGGCTCGGAGGGTCCTACGCCCACGGAATCTCACTGACTGCTAGCACAGCAGTCTGAGATCAAACTGCAAGGCGCCAGCGAGGCTGGGGGAGGGGCGCCCGCCATTGCCCAGGCTTGCTTAGGTAAACAAAGCAGCCAGGAAGCTCGAACTGGGTGGAGCCCACCACAGCTCAAGGAGGCCTGCCTGTCTCTGTAGGCGCCACCGCTGGGGGCAGGGCACAGACAAACAAAAAGACAGCAGTAACCTCTGCAGACTTAAGTGTCCCTGTCTGACAGCTTTGAAGAGAGCAGTGGTTCTCCCAGCACTCAGCTGGAGATCTGAGAACCAGCAGACTGCCTTCTCAAGTGGGTCCCGGACCCCTGACCCCCGAGCAGCCTAACTGGGAGGCACCCCCCAGCAGGGGCACACTGACACCTCACACTGCAGGGTATTCCAACAGACCTGCAGCTGAGGGTCCTGTCTGTTAGAAGGAAAACTAACAAACAGAAAGGACATCCACACCGAAAACCCATCTGTACATCACCATCATCAAAGACCAAAAGTAGATAAAACCACAAAGATGGGGAAAAAACAGAACAGAAAAACTGGAAACTCTAAAACGTAGAGTGCCTCTCCTCCTCCAAAGGAACGCAGTTCCTCACCAGCAACGGAACAAAGCTGGATGGAGAATGACTTTGACGAGCTGAGAGAAGAAGGCTTCAGACGATCAAATTACTCTGAGCTACAGGAGGACATTCAAACCAAAGGCAAAGAAGTTGAAAACTTTGAAAAAAATTTAGAAGAATGTATAACTAGAATAACCAATACAGAGAAGTGCTTAAAGGAGCTGATGGAGCTGAAAACCAAGGCTCGAGAACTACGTGAAGAATGCAGAAGCCTCAGGAGCCGATGCGATCAACTGGAAGAAAGGGTATCAGCAATGGAAGATGAAATGAATGAAATGAAGCAAGAAGGGAAGTTTAGAGAAAAAAGAATAAAAAGAAATGAGCAAAGCCTCCAAGAAATATGGGACTATGTGAAAAGACCAAATCTACATCTGATTGGTGTACCTGAAAGTGATGGGGAGAATGGAACCAAGTTGGAAAACACTCTGCAGGATATTATCCAAGAGAACTTCCCCAATCTAGCAAGGCAGGCCAACGTTCAGATTCAGGAAATACAGAGAACGCCACAAAGATACTCCTCAAGAAGAGCAACTCCAAGACACATAATTGTCAGATTCACCAAAGTTGAAATGAAGGAAAAAATGTTAAGGGCAGCCAGAGAGAAAGGTCGGGTTACCCTCAAAGGGAAGCCCATCAGACTAACAGCAGATCTCTCGGCAGAAACCCTACAAGCCAGAAGAGAGTGGGGGCCAATATTCAACATTCTTAAAGAAAAGAATTTTCAACCCAGAATTTCATATCCAGCCAAACTAAGCTTCATAAGTGAAGGAGAAATAAAATACTTCACAGACAAGCAAATGCTGAGAGATTTTGTCACCACTAGGCCTGCCCTAAAAGAGCTCCTGAAGGAAGCACTAAACATGGAAAGGAACAACCAGTACCAGCCGCTGCAAAATCATGCCAAAATGTAAAGACCATCGAGACTAGGAAGAAACTGCATCAACTAACGAGCAAAATAACCAGCTAACATCATAATGACAGGATCAAATTCACACATAACAATATTAACTTTAAATGTAAATGGACTAAATTCTCCAATTAAAAGACACAGACTGGCAAACTGGATAAAGAGTCAAGACCCATCAGTGTGCTGTATTAAGGAAACCCATCTCACGTGCAGAGACACACATAGGCTCAAAATAAAAGGATGGAGGAAGATCTACCAAGCAAATGGAAAACAAAAAACGGCAGGGGTTGCAATCCTAGTCTCTGATAAAACAGACTTTAAACCAACAAAGATCAAAAGAGACAAAGAAGGCCATTACATAATGGTAAAGGGATCAATTCAACAAGAAGAGCTAACTATCCTAAATATATATGCACCCAATACAGGAGCACCCAGATTCATAAAGCAAGTCCTGAGTGACCTACAAAGAGACTTAGACTCCCACACATTAATAATGGGAGACTTTAACACCCCACTGTCAACATTGGACAGATCAACGAGACAGAAAGTCAACAGGGATACCCAGGAATTGAACTCAGCTCTGCACCAAGTGGACCTAATAGACATCTACAGAACTCTCCACCCCAAATCAACACAATATACATTTTTTTCAGCACCACACCACACCTATTCCAAAATTGACCACATAGTTGGAAGCAAAGCTCTCCTCAGCAAATGTAAAAGAACAGAAATTATAACAAACTATCTCTCAGACCACAGTGCGATCAAACTAGAACTCAGGATTAAGAATCTCACTCAAAGCCGCTCAACTACATGGAAACTGAACAACCTGCTCCTGAATGACTACTGGGTACATAACGAAATGAAGGCAGAAATAAAGATGTTCTTTGAAACCAACGAGAACAAAGACACAACATACCAGAATCTCTGGGATGCATTCAAAGCAGTGTGTAGAGGGAAATTTATAGCACTAAATGCCCACAAGAGAAAGCAGGAAACATCCAAAATTGACACCCTAACATCACAATTAAAAGAACTAGAAAAGCAAGAGCAAACACATTCAAAAGCTAGCAGAAGGCAAGAAATAACTAAAATCAGAGCAGAACTGAAGGAAATAGAGACACAAAAAACCCTTCAAAAAATCAATGAATCCAGGAGCTGGTTTTTTGAAAGGATCAACAAAATTGATAGACCACTAGCAAGACTAATAAAGAAAAAAAGAGAGAAGAATCAAATAGACACAATAAAAAATGATAAAGGGGATATCACCACCGATCCCACAGAAATACAAACTACCATCAGAGAATACTACAAACACCTCTACGCAAATAAACTAGAAAATCTAGAAGAAATGGATACATTCCTCGACACATACACTCTCCCAAGACTAAACCAGGAAGAAGTTGAATCTCTGAATAGACCAATAACAGGAGCTGAAATTGTGGCAATAATCAATAGTTTACCAACCAAAAAGAGTCCAGGACCAGATGGATTCACAGCTGAATTATACCAGAGGTACAAGGAGGAACTGGTACCATTCCTTCTGAAACTATTCCAATCAATAGAAAAAGAGGGAATCCTCCCTAACTCATTTTATGAGGCCAGCATCATTCTGATACCAAAGCCGGGCAGAGACACAACCAAAAAAGAGAATTTTAGACCAATATCCTTGATGAACATTGATGCAAAAATCCTCAATAAAATACTGGCAAAACGAATCCAGCAGCACATCAAAAAGCTTATCCACCATGATCAAGTGGGCTTCATCCCTGGGATGCAAGGCTGGTTCAACATATGCAAATCAATAAATGTAATCCAGCATATAAACAGAGCCAAAGACAAAAACCACATGATTATCTCAATAGATGCAGAAAAAGCCTTTGACAAAATTCAACAACCCTTCATGCTAAAAACTCTCAATAAATTAGGTATTGATGGGATGTATTTCAAAATAATAAGAGCTATCTATGACAAACCCACAGCCAATATCATACTGAATGGGCAAAAACTGGAAGCATTCCCATTGAAAACTGGCACAAGACAGGGATGCCCTCTCTCACCACTCCTATTCAACATAGTGTTGGAAGTTCTGGCCAGGGCAATGAGGCAGGAGAAGGAAATAAAGGGTATTCAATTAGGAAAAGAGGAAGTCAAATTGTCCCTGTTTGCAGATGACATGATTGTATATCTAGAAAACCCCATCGTCTCAGCCCAAAATCTCCTTAAGCTGATAAGCAACTTCAGCAAAGTCTCAGGATACAAAATCAATGTACAAAAATCACAAGCATTCTTATACACCAACAACAGACAAACAGAGAGCCAAATCATGAGTGAACTCCCATTCACAATTGCTTCAAAGAGAATAAAATACCTAGGAATCCAACTTACAAGGGATGTGAAGGACCTCTTCAAGGAGAACTACAAACCACTGCTCAAGGAAATAAAAGAGGATACAAACAAATGAAAGAACATTCCATGCTCATGGGCAGGAAGAATCAATATCGTGAAAATGGCCATACTGCCCAAGGTAATTTACAGATTCAATGCCATCCCCATCAAGCTACCAATGACTTTCTTCACAGAATTGGAAAAAACTACTTTAAAGTTCATATGGAACCAAAAAAGAGCCCGCATCGCCAAGTCAATCCTAAGCCAAAAGAACAAAGCTGGAGGCATCACACTACCTGACTTCAAACTATACTACAAGGCTACAGTAACCAAAACAGCATGGTACTGGTACCAAAACAGAGATATAGATCAATGGAACAGAACAGAGCCCTCAGAAATAACACTGCATATCTACAACTATCTGATCTTTGACAAACCTGAGAAAAACAAGCAATGGGGAAAGGATTCCCTATTTAATAAATGGTGCTGGGAAAACTGGCTAGCCATATGTAGAAAGCTGAAACTGGATCCCTTCCTTACACCTTATACAAAAATCAATTCAAGATGGATTAAAGATTTAAACGTTAGACCTAAAACCATAAAAACCCTAGAAGAAAACCTAGGCATTACCATTCAGAACATAGGCATGGGCAAGGACTTCATGTCCAAAACACAAAAAGCAATGGCAACAAAAGCCAAAATTGACAAATGGGATCTAATTAAACTAAAGAGCTTCTGCACAGCAAAAGAAACTACCATCAGAGTGAACAGGCAACCTACAAAATGGGAGAAAATTTTCGCAACCTACTCATCTGACAAAGGGCTAATATCCAGAATCTACAATGAACTCAAACAAATTTACAAGAAAAAAACAAACAACCCCATCAAAAAGTGGGCGAAGGACATGAACAGACACTTCTCAAAAGAAGACATTTATGCAGCCAAAAAACACATGAAAAAATGCTCATCATCACTGGCCATCAGAGAAATGCAAATCAAAACCACTATGAGATACCATCTCACACCAGTTAGAATGGCAATCATTAAAAAGTCAAGAAACAACAGGTGCTGGAGAGGATGTGGAGAAATAGGAACACTTTTACACTGTTGGTGGGACTGTAAACTAGTTCAACCATTGTGGAAGTCAGTGTGGCGATTCCTCAGGGATCTAGAACTAGAAATACCATTTGACCCAGCCATCCCATTACTGGGTATATACCCAAATGAGTATAAATCATGCTGCTATAAAGACACATGCACACGTATGTTTATTGTGGCACTATTCACAATAGCAAAGACTTGGAACCAACCCAAATGTCCAACAATGATAGACTGGATTAAGAAAATGTGGCACATATACACCATGGAATACTATGCAGCCATAAAAAATGATGAGTTCGTGTCCTTTGCAGGGACATGGATGAAATTGGAAATCATCATTCTCAGTAAACTATCGCAAGAACAAAAAACCAAACACCGCATATTCTCACTCATAGGTGGGAATTGAACAATGAGATCACATGGACACAGGAAGGGGAATATCACACTCTGGGGACTGTTGTGGGGTGGGGGGAGGGGGGAGGGATAGCATTGGGAGATATACCTAATGCTAGATGATGAGTTAGTGGGTGCAGCGCACCAGCATGGCACATGTATACATATGTAACTAACCTGCACAATGTGCACATGTACCCTAAAACTTAAAGTATAATTAAAAAAAAAGTCTAGTGGGAAGAGTGCTGTATTCGTTGAGAAGAAATGTCTTATTAAGTTTCCTGGGGTGAAGGGTGGATATTAAGGATATACTCAAGTAACAATGGATAATAATACAATTGCCACCAACAACTACAGCTGTTGCTCTCTGCCAGATGCTATTCTAAGTGTGTTGCATATTTTAACTCATTTAGTCCACACAATGACCCTATGAGGAAGGTACTATTATTATCATCCCTTATGGGGAGTCTGGCTCTAAATTCTTCTGTTTGTTTAAACAGATGGGGAATTTGAAGTTCCAGGAGGAAGATGAAGGTGCTTTCAAGGCGGGAGAAGGTGCAAAAAGCAAGTCCCTGGGTGCCTTGTAGAGAAGGCGGTGTTGGTGTACAGTTTAAATAGGATGCCCAGTGTAGTGCACTCCAGCCGCTGTGGCTCCTCATGACCATCTGGAAAGCATTTTGCCAGCGTGAGAGATTGGCAAAGAGACTCGGGCATCCGGAAGACTGAACCCACTGCACCTTGGTAGCTTTGTGCAGGGCATCCTCTGCCAGGATGTGGATGGAATCCCAGCTGTGAGCCCAGATTTGTAGTAAGGCCACCAGCTTGGGAAGGCTGGGAGAGGACAGGGAGGGGCTTTGCCAACCAGCCCAAGGTGGGAACCAGGACTCCTGTGTGGCACCAGGGTGTCCTCTGATGGGCAGTGGTCCAGCTGTCCTCCCAGCAGTGCCACGTCAGCATGACCGTCCACGCCTTGTCCAGGGATTCAGGGAGAGAAGAGCACTGCCACTTTGCTGTGGAAACAGACAGGTGTCCTTCTTTCCTCTGTCAAGGTGACGTTCGTGCATTTAAACAGAGCCCTCTGGGGATAGCTGTTCAACAACTCACCAATTAACCCTACAGAAATGACATCAATGTCTTTTCTTCATTTCATGCGTAATGCAAAGACTTCTGTGGGAAGGAGGAGACCCTGAGAGCCACACTTCAATCCTTCACACAATTTCCCTGTCTGTTCATATCATGGGGGATTTACAGCCAGACTAGTAATGTCTTATTACTTTCACATCGCAAATTTCTTCTCTTTCTCTATCAATATTTGACATTTGCACTTAGGTTTTAAACACATTTGCAATGATTTAGACGTATTTCTGCAGAAATGTATTTTCACTCTTCTCATCAGGTATTTCCAGCTCCCAGCACCTGCTGCGCACTCCCTTCCCTGGCCTCCCTCAGCTGGCTCTGTCGTAGCCTTGCGCCTCACTCTCGTGATGGAGCCGCCTGCTACAGACACTGCTCTTGCTGTCTTTCAGTGTCAGCTCAGCTCAGGGTTGAGGCCAAATTCACAGAACCCAGAGGATGGAAACAGCAGGGAACGTCCCGGCTGGGTTCTGAGAACAGCCTGGGGACCGGCTGCGATCTCTATCAGTGCTGGGTGTGGATATGTCCGTGCGCCAGGATGGCTTGGAGAGCAGGGTGGAGCAGCAGGGCCAAGGGAGGCTGACAGTGGGGGACTGGTCACTCATCTCCAGGTCCAGACCTCCAGGAGGGGCTCCTTTGGGGTCCTTGGTGTCCCTTCCTGACGGGCCCGGCTGTTTGGGGCACAGAGCAGGACCTCACAGAATGGGAGCCGAGCCAGAGCCCGAGCTGTCATCATTTGTCTTCTGCAGCAGTGCTGGGAGTTCCCTGTCCTCATGCCCACTCCTGACGTTCTCCCATGTGGATTTTAACTCTGCCCTGCATCTTTTGTTTTCTTGCAATCCCCCGCTATCCCTTCCAGCTCTCTTTTTACCTGGTCCTGGTGCCCTCCCACTACAGCCTGGGCTCTCTATTTCTTCCTTATTGAAAACAGCAGGGCGTTTCTCGTGCCCTCCCGGCCCCCCAGGGCACATCGAGATGTGCACTTTCCAGGAGTGTTTGAATGCTGCTCTCTTTGCCTCATTCTGCATCTTTTGAACAAGCCCCATTTTCATCTCTGTTCATCACCAAATGAAGTGGGACCTACTCAGACATGGCCCCCACTCTCAGCCCTCTCTTGTGGGTTCAGATCGCCTCCTCATGCCTTCACTGTGCAGGTTGACATGTTCATTCCTCACAGGTTCCCCTGCCAGGCCTTGGATAGCCTGAACCAATAAAACACAAGGAAAATGACAATTTTCCTGGAAGCCCTGGTCCTGAGGCTTTCTGCCTATGTCCCCTCTCCACCTCCCGGCTCTCACGGCCCCACATAGACTCTGGACCCTATTCACGAACAGACAGTGATGGCATTGCAAGGGTTTGCTGTCTGCAGGAGTCAAGATTGTCATTTGCAGCCTTGGTTTCCCAACCAAGGCATCTTGGCTCCTACGTAGGGCCTTTTGGCTCCTCTGTTCCCACAGAGTTTCCCTTCTTAATAATCTGCTGCCCCAGAAGTCTGGCTGCTGATCCCACACTTATCAGTGATGCCCTTTCTGAGAATGTGGACGAGGCCATGGGGAGCTGAACTCACCTGGCACCACCAGACTTAGCCATGCTGCCAGCTCGTGGGAAGGGGGACCCACTGTGGGCACAGCTGGGACAAAACAATGTGCTTACAATGGAAACTCCTGGCTGCCCTCTGCTCCTACCTCCTTGCCTTCTCCTGCAACATGTGCCCCACATTCCAGCTGTGCTCATGCTGCCCAGATGACGACTGCATTTTCCAGCCTCCCTGGCAGTGGATGAGGCTGAGTTACTGAGTTCCGGCCAACAGAATGGGAGTGGAAGTGAGTGTGCAAATCCCAGGAGGGCAGGGCAGAAACATGGCCCCTTGCCTGCTTCTCCCAGCTGGCCCAGTCCTGTGGAGCCAAGGGGCATTGGAGGAGCAACAAGAGCGAAGGAGGCTGGGTGCCCTGTACTCAGTCTGCTGTGCCAGCCCAGGCTGCTCCCTCTGAGACCATCTAAGCAGAGGAAAATAAACTGCTATGTTGTTTAAGCCACAAAGTTTGGGGATTTCTTTGTTATAGTAGCCTAACTCATACTCTACCTAGTACAGTGATCAGTAGATGGTACTTCCTTCCTCTCTGTGTGCCTTAGGGGCAGGCGGGTGGGTGGCACCATTATGGCTGGAGTTCCTGCTCTGCAGCCTTCCAGCTTCCACCTCTATTCCTCACCGTGGTGAGTCCAGGGCCCATCTCCACCTGCTTTTTCAGCTTGCAGGTCAACACAGCACTCCCCTTCCAGCCACAGAAATCACAGACGGTCAGAAAGGTGGTGGCATGGGGGTCTCTGAGGCAGGAGCCAGGCCAGGCACTGTAACAGACTCTCAACCCCCACCAGGGCCAAGGCAATGCTGACATTGGGGCTGCAGCAGGAACCTGGGGGTGCCACACAGCTGGGCTCTGCATCCTGGGCTCTGCATCCAGAGTCACTTACCACGTGCCACCACGCTGTTGCCCGGGGCCTTTCACACTGCTCTGCAGGGCGAAGGAGCTGAAATCTAGAGAGGTCTAGGACACACATAAAGAGCTGGAGCCCAGGATCAACAGGCAGTGCGGCCCCATTATCCCTGTTCCCTGCACTGTGCTGTACTCTCCACGACTCAGCCAAGACCTCCAGGAGGCACACTCATCCCGGGGAGGTGCACCATATGTGTGCACGTACACACAATTCAGGTGCAAGCCTGGAAGCCCAGACTGAGGAGACCACTAAGACCACCCCTTACACACACTCCCTGCCACAAGACAACAGCAGGATGTTGGGACACACACCCAGGGGAGGTGAGCAGCGTGTCCGGCCGGTCCTTGGCACAGAAGGTGCATATGCTCCCGAGGTTATTCCACGTCCCATGTCATCATCCTGACCAGACAACAATCCTCCCTGTCCCTCTGACGTACCTCTTATCTAGGGCTGAACTGCTTGTTTATGGATGAAGAAAGCCCATGTTAACAAGGCTGGAAATCAATGCCTTGCTTCCCTAGAGTGTGTTTGCCCACAGAGGGTACATCCGGTCAGGGGCAAAGGACAGAGGTCACTAGGCCCAGCCTCCTCCTCGGGACCATGGCCAGTCAGGATAGGATGTCCATCCTCCTATCAGCTGTGCTGTGTGCTGGGCGGCTGGTGAGAACAACGGCCTCTGCCCTCTGAGATGCACGACCTCACACAGACCCCCACATTCAGACATCTCTCTGCTGGGAGCCCATGGGTGCCCTACCCCCAGCCTCCAGATCTCCAAGGTTTTCACCGAGAAACACTTGACCCGACTTGCATCCAGTTCTTATAAAGCAAAGGATCCTTCTAGAAGGTTCTTGCTTCCCACTGCACATGACTGGGTGAACCAGGGCAGCCCTCTCTGTGTGTGTGTGCTTCATACCAGCTGAGCCACTGAAGCAGGCCCTGGTCAGCCTCCATTTCCTTGCCATTCCCTGTGGGGCTCATAGCCCCTCCTTGTGCTTGGGCCCCCACTTCCCCCAGGCTCCAGCCAGCACAGGACGTGTGGATGGGTCCAACCTCAACTGTGCAACCACACAGCGAAGACCCCAGGCATGTTGGGGAGTTAGGGACGATGGAGGACAGGACGTAACTGCATATACTGGCCTCTCCGAGTCTCACCTCTGCCTGCTCAGGATTCCTAACACTTTCACAATTACCCACGCCAGTAGGAAATGGCACAGCCACGTTCCTAAGGGGGTAAATACTCTGCCAAGGCACAGCAAACATATAGGGCATGTGTAATAGGTTTGGTGGACTGGATGGGGGTAGGAAGTGCAAGAAAGGGTCTCCGATAGCAGAGTAGGTGAGCCTCGCAGGACTGGCCAGGCCTGAGGCAGCTTCCCACAGGTGCTGTCGGAATGTGGGCTGGATTTGGGTTTACGGAGCTCCAGGTCAGGGAGCCGGGATGAGCAGAATCTCAGCAGCTGGCCTGGAGCTGAGCTGTATGGGAACCCTACCCTGCTGGACCGGGGCTGGACCCCAAGGGGCCTTTCTATCCCTCCAAATACAAAACAGAGTTCCCTGAACTCTGCGAAGGTGGAGACATAGACTCGGCCCCAGAGTCACCTCCACATCCCGGCAAAGCAGGAAAACAGCACATGAATGCCAAAAGCTGTGAGTTCTTTTTCTTTTTATTGGCAAAGTAAATATATTTTTATGAAGGACCAAAGAAAATATACGTAATTGTAACATATGTACACCAGCTTCATAGATTTTTTTAAATTTCAAATTTACACAAATGTTGATATGTTATTAAAAGATATTTTATGTGGATGGACCTATGTACAGTTTATTTACATACATTCATAGGATGTGAAATAAACCTGTCAAAACAAGCTAGTTCATTTATTAATTTCTAGACAAAATAAGGAATGCATTTCTAAATCAGGGTTGGGAGGCTCTATCTAGTTCTCTCACACCCAGGACAGCCTGGCCCTCTCCTCCCAAGGCCACCCTAAAGGCTGGTGTCTGGATTTGTCTGGGAAACCGGAGGAGGGGACGAGCCCCTGGGTACAGGCCCTTCTGGCTCTGTCTGCCCTGCACATTTAACTCAAGCACATGCACTGCCAGCCCCCTAGTGGGGGACGCTTTTCACCTCTCTCCCACATGAGGGCCCAGCGGCCCGGTCCTGCCCCCCCCCCCCCCCCCCCCCCCCCCCGGCTCCAGGGACCTGCCCACACCCTCTGGTGATCATGCTGAGCAGGCATCTTAGACAAAGCCACCCTCACACCACAGTGCAGCCCTGGACTTCTGGCCTACTTCCTTCTCCTCCAGCATGACTCTCTCTGGAAACCCAACATTTCAAAACTGCACATTTCATCTTCCCCTAGCACTAAAGTTCTGGCCTTGGCCCAGGATGGGGGAGCCCAGTGGGAGAAGGGCCAGGTCCCCAAAACTCTGCCTGCAACCAGCGGCTGCAGCAGAGGCCTGGCCACCGCGGGAAGGCACGAAGGCACGAAGGCACGAAGGCCTGCCTCCAGCCCCGTGCGCCTGGGGCCCAGCCCCCAGGGACGCGGGTTCGAGGCTCTAAGTACTCCCGAGAAAGGCAGCGGTTGGCGGGCCCTGGGTTCACACCTCCCAGGCTTCAGAAGGTGGGCTGGTAACATTGCCATGTCCCTCTGGAGGAGGCAAATAAATTATTGCTTAAAAAAATGGGGATGGGGTGGGGATCCGGGGTGACGGACAGGCTGGGGTTCAGGGCGCTTTCAGTTCACGGAGCGCACGGAGCGGCTGCTCCGCGGGAAGCGGTGCACCTTGATGTGCTTGGAGAGGTGGTCGCTCCGCGCGAACTTCTTCTCGCACACAGGACACTGGTACGGCTTCACACCTGAGTGCGAGCGCCTGTGCCGCGACAGCTCGTCAGAGCGCGAGAACCTGCGGGACATGGCGCGGTCAGCGAGGCCTGGCCCTGCCTGCCCCTGCCTGCCCCGACCCCACGAAGTTGCCGGGATGCAAGGCGTGCACCTGGCACTCACCCAAAGGGTGGCTGCGCAGACCTGCAGCCTCTACAGGATTAGGGGAGGGTCCCCCATCTACGTCGGTAAGGCTATACCAGTTCTCAAAATACCATTTTTTTTTCTTTTTTTGAGACAGGCTGGAGTGCAGTGGCGCCATCACAGCTCACTGCAGCCTCCCGGGCTCAATCAATCCTCCTTAGCCTCCAGAGTAGCTAGGATTACAGGTGTGCCCACCACACCCAGATAGTTTTTGTATTTTTTTTTAGAGACCAGGCCTCCCTATGTTGCCCAGGCTGGTGTCAAACTCCTGGGCTCAAGCGATCAGGCTACTTCAGCTTCCCAAAGTGCTGGGATTAAAGGCGTGAGCCACTGTGCCAAGCTGCCCCTGCCACCCCTCCAAGATGGAAAGAACTACAGTAAAGGCTCATGCTGGCACAGTGGGCATTCTCTGTTGGGAACTGCCAGAGCAGCTGGTAAAAGCTCCCAACAGGAAAGGACCCCAATGCTACCAGGGACCAGGGCTTCCCTCCCACAGCCCACCCAGTGTGCAGGGGTCTCTGAGGCCACAGGTGCACTCAGTCGCTCAGGCCCTGATGCTGGCTGCCTCTCACCACCCTGGCCTCATCTACCCCACTGGACCAGAACTCCACAGGGGCATCTGTGAAGGCCTGTACAGGACCGCCCATCCGGAGGGGAAACGGAGGCCTGGGAGGAGGAAGCAGCACAGGGAGAGAGGTCCTCAGACTTGAGTCCACCCACTCCTGAAACCAGCTGTGCTGGAAGCTGGGCCCTCTAAGGCAGGCCCAAATAAAGATTGACCCTGCAAAGTGTATCTGGGAGTTCAGGTGGCTCCCGACATTTCGCTTTCTTGGCCCTGCTGGCCTGGGAGCAGGCACTCATGTGACAGTCAAGAGCCCAAGCTGCATCGAGGGCCTGGACTGCTTGCCACCAACCTCAGGGATTTGAGGCCCTCTCCACCCCTGGCTTGGCAGCAGGTCCCTCCCACCCCACCTACCCCTCCCACGACACACTATCCCGCTCTGTGCTCCACCTGCATTGACCTTTCCTTGGTCCTTCTTGCCACAGGCCATTTGCACATACTGTTCCCTCTTTCTAGAATGTTCTTCCCTCCCCCTCCTTGCTCTCTCCTACCCATTCCTTAGAGCTCAGCTCGAATGTCACTTCCTTAGGAAATCCCTCCAGGACTGCATCCAATTCTAGGCTCCTGTGGCATTACACACCTCTCTCTCCTCATTCTTGCTGTTGTTTTGATTTTAAATTATCTTCAACTTTTTGATGACTGTCAGTCTGTCCCACTAGACTGTCAGCTCCATGACAAAGGACATGTTTGTCTTGGTTCCCGGTGGTCTTCCCATGACCAGCCCAATGCCTGGTATATGGTAGGTGCTGAGGAGGTGGATTTCAATGCAAGAGTGGGCACAGCAAGCAGCCCTAGGGGGGCAGACACTGTCAAGGAGCAGTCCCAAAGCATGCACGCACACACACACGGACAAATACATGCCCACACATACAGGCACACAAACATACACGGACGAATATGTGCCCACACATACTCACACACACACACACACAGGCACAAATTCATGCCCCCATGTACTCACGCACACACACACACACAGGGACACGAGGCCCAACACCCCTTTGTGGACCAGGGCCACCCAGCGAGAGGCGGTGCCCAGAGCAGCAGTTCCCACCCAGCAATTGGTAAGGGCTGGTGATGCCCTGGCGCCCTGACCCTGTGGGTGGAAGAGCAGAAGGACCCAGCAGAACATGCTCTGGACAAGGCACAGGGGGTGGCAGGAGGGCCTGCAGGAGGAGACAGGAACTCCGACTCACATCACAGAGTGGTGGTGGCACCAGGCACAGGGCAGTGCTTTCAGCACATCTCCAGACTAGGTGAAGCCCAACTGCCCTGCCTGTCAGAGGAGGAAACTGAAGCTCAGGGTGCTGAGGGCCTGGTCCAGGTCACTGACAAGACAGGGCCCCTGAGGCTGGAGCAGAGGTCTTGACACAGCCCCCTGCCCTGGCAATGGCAGATGACCTGGACTCCCAGTCAGCAGAGCCCCCCAGCCTCCTGTACAGGCCTGGATGGGTGTGTGTGTCACAGGGCCCTGTGCCAGTGAGGAAATGGGATAAATGTGCCCTGGCAGTCAAAGCTGACACCTGTGCTCCTGGGCAGGACACCTGCCCCCAGCTGCAGCTGGGCACACAGCTTCTGAGCAGAGGAGCTGGCCCAGGGCAGGGGTAAGCAGAAAGCTGCAGACACAGAGTGCCACGCCTCCCAGGCTGCAGCCCTGGGGTCACCCAGCATCTCACTGGCCAGGGAACCAGGATGAGCCAGCCCCATTGGACTGGCAAGACCATGGCAAGGGTTTAAAGAGGCCAAGTCACACAGCCCAGGGGACAGAGTCTCAGGCTCCTGCCTTGACAGTTCCCACCCCACTGGGTGCCCTGAATGGTCCTTTCTGGGCCTCAATTTCTTCATTCATCCAATGAAGACTCTGGCATTCCTGCCCACCTTCCAAGACTCATCTCAAAGGCCACAGGTGGTGACGTGGGGCCACACAGATCTCTGGTCATGGTGACACCCTGGGAAGGACAGGCAGATGAGATAGAACCAAGCTGGACAACATGCTGTCCTCACCTGAATTCCCTCCCTGCTGCCACAGGGTCCTGGCACCTGAGAGGAACTTCCCTGGGAACTGAGCCCTCAGAAGACCCCCTGCCTCACCCCTGCATGCCACATTCTCCCAAACAGCAGCCAACAGAGAGCCCTGGGGACTACAGTGGGGGATGTGGGAACCCGGTGGGTAAGATGCAGCCCTTGTAGGCAGTAAGCTCTGCCACTTACCAACCAGGCAAACTAGGAAAGTCACCAAGCTCCCTGAGCCTCAGTTTCTCTACCCAGACAAAGGGAGAACAAAAGACCTATTCCTGAGGACTGTGAGGATTGTACAAGGCAACCAGTAACGGTTTAGAGCCCTGCTTAGCACGTGGCAATTATTCAAGAATGATGAGCTCTTATCACCTGCATGGAGTTGAGTGTTGGGCCTGGTTCCTGGTGGGTCCTGCTGCAGACAGGGCAGCACTATGATTTGTGCTGAGCTGTAGGGCAGAGGGTACACAGGGGTCCAGTGTCTCTCTAGAGCAGCTATAATGTCAGGGCTGGTGCATACAGCACTTCTGTATGAAGGCGTCCCTTCCTTGAGACACTAACCCTCATCCGCCAGACAACACCGCAAACAGTCCAGTCTCAGAAACTGCAATGGAAATGGTGCTCCCTAGAGTTGTGCAGTTCACAACCTGCCCAACCATACTGGGGGCCTCTGCCTACAGAGGGAAGGAGGTCAGAAAAAGCCTCAATGCAGAGGGGTCATGAGAGCAGGCTGGGAGCCAGACCCCTAAGTTTGAATCCTGCACCTACCACCTCTTGGCTCTGACGCTCAAGAGGAGCCTGGAACTCCCCTTCTCTGTCCCCCACCACATCCACTGTGGACGACAAAAGTACCCACCCTACAGGCTGATGACAGTTATTCATATTCATATTCACTGCAGCAGAAGGGATTCTTTCTGGATGGAATGGCTTGGCCATTCTGGAACAGGACGTTCTGCTGCAAGGAACAAAGGATGCCTATGTCTGACAGTGAGGCAAGGAAACTTCTAGGAAGGCAGGCAAGCAGCACTTCCCAGACGGCTGGATCAGAACAGGGAAAGCCTGCTCTCAGCCCTGTTGAGGGTGCCAAAATCATGTCACCAGAGAAGGGACAGGGAGTACTCTTAGGACCAAAAGCAGAAGGAAGTGGAGGCTGAGTACCTGGGCAGGTGACGACCTCAGCAGTGGAGGGAGGGCACTGTCCATTACACAGAGGTATGAGGGGCCTGAGGGGCCCTGGCTTGTTCTCCGAGCACAGGACATGGTACTAGGCCAGAGCCAGCCTGGGCAGAAAGAGCATCCCATTCATCTAGGCCACCAGGAAGAAGAGACGCGGCCTGGGAGTGGAGAGCTCCCCCACGGGGAGTAGGTGAGTGTGTAGAGCTGCCACCCCAAAGACCAGGCTGAGCTGCAGATGGAGGTGGAGGTTCCCAACACCAGAGTTAGCACCCAACACCGGGGTGCAGAGGGAGGTCCCTGATTCTGGGCAGACAGCCTCAGCTGAACTCCTGGCTCTGGGGCTTACTGGCTGGCTGACTGGAGAATTTACCTAACTCTTCTGTGCTTTAATTCTCTCCTCTGTGAAATAGGGACAACATGCTGATGCCTACTAATTTTGAGAATTACGTAAATTAATATGTGTGAATTTTGCTCAGAGCAGTGCCAAGTATGCATTAGAGGCCCTGGTTATTATCTCGATTGTGGTCGTTAGCTCTTTTCCCATAGCCCAGAAGCATAATGCCTTTTGGGCCGACCTCTTGGTGGGAGACTGGAGGCACACATGGCGACTCTGATACCAGCTAGGACCACCAGGTGGCCAGAGCAGGGCTCTGCTAGGGCTTAGTCATGCAACCCAGATCCTTGCTCACTAGCTATGTCCCTGTGGGCATGTGACGTGAGCAGTCTGTGCCTCAGTTTCCCTCTCTGTAAAATGAAGATTGGTGCCTACACTTTACCAGGCAGTTACAAGGACCTGATGAGCTAATGCGAAAACCTTAAGCTGTCACTACAGCCTCAAGGGCAGGGGTCATTTGAGACAGAGGGCACAGAGAGGGCGGATGCCCACGCGGGAGCCTGAGCCACAGCAGGGAGGCCAGCGTGGCTGGATCCCACTCAGTAAGGGGAAGAGACAGGTAAGCACATTGTGTGGGTCTATGGGCCAGAACGAGAAGCTTGAATAGAAACTGAAGCACAGCAAAGTACACTTAAAGGCCTCAGAAGGTAATGAGCTCCCCATGGCAGGAAGTATGCAAGTTACAATAGTGGGCGGAGGGGATTCCAGCTCTGAGAAACTTAGAATAGTGCCCAGCATACAGTGAGTGGTCAGTAAATACGCCATCTCACCATCATCATCGTTACCCTTCCAGTCCTGTCCAGACCCAGCTGCCCCAAAGCGGGGTCCATCCTCCCTCCTGACTGCTGTAAGGAGCTGCAGGGGCTCCCTCTCAGTTGAAGACTATCACCACATTAAGAGACACAAGCAGACTGGGCACATCCCCAGGGTTTCAAGATCCCTGAAAGCCAGCTGAGGACTCCCCGCATCCTCAGAAAAGCAGCCCTCCCTAGAGGCCGGTGTCCTCAGCTCCCAGCCGAACAGCGCCTCTGCCATGAGTTACCCCACCAGGGCCAGACCCACTCCAGGGGACCTTGGGGGAAGCTGGAGGAGCCCTCAGGAAGCCCGGGGCATGGCTGGCAGCAGGGACAGCTCCTGGGGGCAGTGCCACTGTGATCTCACTGGGCCAGGCAACCACTACACCTTCTCTTGCCAAGTGGGTCCTGGGCAGCACGACCAGTGCCAGGGCTCAGATGTGTCAGAGCTGAATCCCCTCCACAGGTCCCCACTCTCTCATGTACACCCCCTGCCATGAGGAACTCATTACCTCCTGAGGCCACTGTATAGAGAACTAAGATCTGCCTCACTGAGATACACTTTGGGCTGAGGGGCCTATCAGCTCTCTGGCCCTAAGATATCCAGGAAGAAGGCTGGCCTTGGATGAGGACCACACCTGCCCTCCCCATCACCCTACCCAGCCTCACGGCATCTAGAGGAGCTACTTGCCAACGGTCGACTATGGCCAGGAGACGGCGCTGAAACCTGAGCCCGACTAAGGAGTCCAGACTGGTGCTTGGAGGGAGGTTTCCCTGCCTCTCTGCAGCCCCTGCCCGCCCTCACCAAGAGGAGAGTGCATACAGGGTCCCTGGGAGTAGGGGGTCCCTTCACAATAGGCACCACCCTCTTGGGGGCTGGAGAGAATGCCTTCAGGGTTCCTCCTCAGAAACTGCCGTGTATGAGTTTGTATCCTTATGATGTACAAACAACAAGGAGGCCGCTGTGGAGCCCTGCACGCCTGCCCTGGGCTGCAAAGGGCTAGCCCTCCACTCTGCAGACAGGAAACTGAGGTTTGGAGGGGGACCACCCCAAAGGCACATGACAAGTTAGTGGCTGACCCAGGCGTAGGCTCAAGACCACAGCCCCCACATACCTGTGCCCTCGCCTTCTCTGCACAAGTTTCCTGCTTCAATCAAGAGCACTCCTGGCCCTTCTCTCGGCTCCTCTAACCTCCTATGCAGTGTACTTGCTGCTGTGTCCTCCTCTCACAAGCAACCTGTCAGCCATGCACCCACTCGGCAGGCCTAGGTACAAAGCTCAGAGAGGTGGGGACTCCAGGATGGAGACCTTGTGAGGCCCCAGGGTGGGCTCTCACAGAAGCCTCTCCGGTCTGTCTGAATGGGGTGGGAGACAGGACAGAGTGATGTCCTCACTCAGGAGGGGCCTCCATAAACCTAGACACTGTTCAGGAAAATTCCCTTCTCTGGCCAGATTGGCACTCAATGGAAAGGTGGCACCAGTGCCACAACATACATTCCACTCACAGCTCCCTGACCACAGCTCAGCCTCACTGGCCAGAACCTCTGCCCCAGACAACTCTCAAGAGCTCTCAGAACCAGAGTATGGTCAAGAAAACAAAAGCTGCAAACTGCTCCCCGGGTGTTGCACCCACACATAACACATGCACACACAGGCAGCCACACATGGTGCACAAACACCTAAGACATGTATGTGTGCAAACACATATGGTCACACGGCACAGACAGACACAAAGAAAGCAAGATGCATACACATGTGGGTGTGCACACACACAGCCACACACCTGCTGGCGAGGCCCAGGCCTGTATACACCCCCAGGGATACAGATGAGTGTGCCCCGTCTCACACACGTAGCAGCAGCCACAGCAGCAAAGATTTGGAATGTGCCAACAGCACACAGCGCCCCCCAGGCAGGCCAGAGATTCCTTTGGGATGGGCATCAGGAACTGCAGAGGGCTGGCTCTGGCACCCCGGAGCACATGAGCTCTTCGCAAGCAGCCTACATTTCAGGAAAAGGTGGACAGCCACTCCCAAGGAGGTTGAGCAGCACCCGGTGCTCAGGGAAGGGTGCTCCCTGGTTGGGAGACTACCAGTTACCATTTGAGGCCTGATTTCCCCACTGCCATGCAGACCAGACAGCCTGGGTTCTGCCACCTGTGACAGCACCACCAGCTGGCCTAGCCTCCCTCTGGGTTGGCCTTTGCAGCCTCCCAAACATGCTTCCACGTCCCCAGGGAGGAAGCATAGGCGAGGCCCAGCCCATGTGTCCAGAGACATCTGTGAATGAAGCTAGTCCCACTGGTTGGGGAAGCAGCATTTTCAGGATGTGACCTCTCGAATCCGGCCTCTGGGTTCAAATCCCATTCACAAAGCAGAGTGACCTTGGGCAAGTACCTGGCCAGTCGGAGCCCTAGTGTCCTGTGATGTAAGTTGGGAGTGATGGTGGTACTTACCCTGTGGGGCTGTGGGCCCAAAGGGAGCCGCTGCCTGGCCCCTAGACCGCACTCATCCTTCCTCGCCAGCCCCTCAATCCCCACCCTTGTCAGACTGGATGGGGAGACCCAGCTGGCAGCACAGGCCAGTGAAGCCTTACCTGGCCATCAGGAAACTGGACACCAGTTGGCTTCCGGCTTCAGGAACCAGGAGGACCAAGGAAGCCTCCAGGCAACTGTGCCAGCTCTGGGCCTGCACCCGCCTGCCCCTCCCTCCCCTCCCTCATCTACCTTCTGTTAATGGTGGAAAATGGCCCTGCTGCACACCCAAGTAAGCAGACATGAGTGGCTGTGCTCACTGCCCAGGCCTGTCACTCGCTATACTGACCTCCAGCCGCAGCCTGGCCAGGTGCAGGCGAAGGGCTTCTCACCCGTGTGCCGGCGCAGGTGGGCCTTGAGGTGGCTGCTTTTGGTGTACATCTTGCTGCAGCCAGGGAAAGTACATTTGTGCATTTTGATGAGTTCTGCGGCTGGGTTCTTGGGGAACTTCTGGCCCATGAGGAGACCGGCAGGGCCAGGCCCCAGGGGTCCCGATCCAACAGGCTTGGCGGCAATGGGCACAGGGGCAATGCGCACAAACTTGGAGGGCAGGTTCAAGTTGGAGGAGGGTACCACCTGGGGCACGAGTGCGAAGGTCTGCCCCTGGATGTTGACCAGGAGCTGGGCAACCTTGACATTCTCTGGGGCTTGCCCAGGGGAGGCAGGCCCTGTGCCCGATTCCTGCTTCACAGGCACGGGCTGGATCTGCAGCAACACTGGGATGGGGCCATCAGGCGTGGGGCCCCCACCTGGGCCCTGGGCACCTCCTGCACTGGCACCACCTGGTGGAGGGGAACAGCGCTCTCTCCCGCTGGACCCAGGATGGAGGTGGCTCTTGTGTGGCCCAGCTGAGAGCTGGCTGCAGGCATCCAAGTCCTTGCTGTTGCCCTCAGGGACCTCCTTGACTCCAGGCTCCATGTTCTCCTCCAGAAACTCTTCAATCTCCTCCAGGGTAGGCTGGAAGGGCCGTGGGACGTCATCAGGATCACCCAAAGGAAACTCGGGCAAGCAGAAATGCTCCCCCTTCACAGGGGCCGCTGCCCTTCGCCAGGGCCCCCAGGCCACGGGGCCACTGCTGGCCCCAATGCTACTGCCGCTGCCCCCGCCACTGCCCAGCGTGGCCTGGGACAATAGGAAGTCCAAGATGCTGTCCTGGCTCTCGGTGCCCAGGCCTCCACCATAGCAGGAGCAGAGGGCTTGAGAGTCGGGACTGGAACAGGAGCAGGGGCTGGAGGCATCGCTGTCATCTTCAGAGACGGGTGAGGGCAGCATGTGATATGCCCGCCGGCCAACCAGCCTATCACCCAGATACCCAACTGGGCATTTTGGCGACGAGAAGTTCTCGTCCACTGGAAGTAAGTGGTCCACCATGCTGGCCTGGCCGTGCCGGTGGCGGCTGCAGGAAAGGAACACAGGAGGCCTGGTCAGAAGGACAGTGCTCACCTGCCACCTCGCAGGCCTCTGACCCCACCCTCAGCTGCCTGCCCACAGCCTCCTATTGCCAAACGCCTGGATCCTGCTTCCATCCCCCAGGAGAGCTGTGCCTGCAAGAGTGTTTTCTGAAATTGCACCACCTGTTTGCAAAAGAGACCTCTCCAAGCCCATTGCATAACCAGGGGCACTTCTGGTTTCAAACAGATTTTCCAGAATTATCCTGGAAAATAGCACATATGTCTGTGAACAACTGAGTATGGGTGAGTATGAGAGAAGGGCATGCGCGAGGAGGCTCTCTGGACCCCAGGAGGGCCAAAGCCCTGAATCAGCCCACCGTCAACATCATAGGAGTCACTGTACATCTGAGGACTCCTGACCTCAGCTTCACGCCTGTTGAGTCACAGAATGGGGGTAGAACAGCCATTTGCCCTCTGACCCTCATGTTGCTGAGGCTTCCAGAGGGTTGCCAGATTACGCAAATAAAAATACAAGCCAACAGTTACATTCGAATTTCAGATTTAAAAAATAAACTATTTTTAATATAAGTATGTTCCCAATATTGGATAGGACACACTTACATTTAAAAATTATTTCACCTGAGATTCAAATTTAACTAGGCCGCCTGCATTTTAACTGGGCAAGTGTAGCATGTAGGCAAAACAGTCAAAGACCAAAAAGTGCCTGCCTGCGCAGCTGTTTCCCCACCTAAAGCTCCTCCACTCTCCAGTCCTCAAACCCCTCTGAGCCTTGACTGCCCTGTGAGTGGCACAGGCTTGAACGCAACCCTCTCACCTGCACCCTGATGCTTGAGCATCCTGGTGGCCAAGGCCCTGCCCCTCTGGTGATAATCCGTGGAGTGGAAGCAGACCACTGGGGTCCCAGAGCACCCGCATGTGCCTAACTGCCTTGGACTTCACACCCATCTAGTGGGAAAGGAGACAACCACCCCCCCAGCCCATCCTGACCAATAAGGAAGTGGAGTCCCCTGCACTCTCTGCCATTGCTCTCTCCATCTGGGACACTCACCGCCTTGCGAAGGTTCAGCTAATGCCTGTCTCCCCCTGAGACAGTGCACTCCATGTCTCTGCTGCGTCCCCAGTGCCTGGACTGGCCGCTGGTGCCCAGCAGGGGCTCAGAGAACTTTGATAGAGAGGAGAAGGGAAAGCTGCATCCTCTGAAGCCAAGGACATGCTAGGTCTGGTGCCAAGGAGAGTCAATAGTGTCCAGCTGTGACGGGGCCACCTCTGTGAACCTTTGTCCCTGCTCAGTGACCAGGGCAGGCTGGGTGTTTATCAAGCTTGGGGAAGGGGAATGCTCTGCACCAAAGTCAGAGGTTCTCTGCTGCCCAGCATCACCTCTACACCCAGCCCCTCTGTCTCCAGGACCCCTTCAGGGCCTGGCACCCGGCACTGCCCAATGGCCAATACCATCATCAGCTACAACCTTGAGCAAGTCCTTGCTCCCCTTCCCAAACCTTAGTTTCCTCATCTGTTCCATGCTTCAAAGATCTCTAAGTCTCTTCCTGCTCAGGGACCCCAGGACCTTTAGCCCCAGTTCCCAACTTACCCAGGAAGCTTCACGGAGCTCCAGGAAACTAAGGCAAGGTCTGTGCCCCAGGCCAGTTTTACTAGGAGGACATTTGGCTTTTTGGTTTAAATACTCAGCTAAGGATTTAAACCTGGAATATGTTTTAAAATGCACCTATTCACCAAATCAGGTGCTGGGAAGGAATGAAAGTGCTAGACACTGTGAAGGGCACAAGGCTGGGCAGAGCCCACACTCCACCCTGGGCCTCCCCCAACCCTTTCCCACCCTCCAAGCAGGGGCTCCATTTCTGAGTCTGCAAGTTGTCTGCCAGGTGACCTCAGGCAGGTGCACAGCCTTTCTGTGTCTGTCTCAGTCTGTGAGATGGGGGTGCTTCCAACAGTGCCTGGTTCCTCAGGTGTTGTGAGAATTCCGTGAGCTGACGCTCACTAAGCACCCCCCTCAGGATCTGGCACACCGGCAGCACTCAGCCAGTGCCAGCCATTGGTGTCAGCCTGCAGGCACGGCAAACGTTCGGCCTCTGCCCCTCTACTGTGATGTTAAGGAATCAGGGGCCTCCAGCCCTCCTGGGACCCAGAGCAGGCCTTAGAGCCCTCCCCTGAAACGTGATCACTAACTGGCCATCCCATGATATTAAGTAATTACTGTTAATATTTTTAATTGTGATGATCATATTGTGGTTAAAGGAGGCCTTACCTTTTAAACATATAAACAGATATTGACAGATAAAGTGATCTAAAAAGTACAGTAGGGGGGCTGGAAGGAAACACCCTCCAATGGCTTCCCAAGGACAGGTGGCCCTATCTCCTCGCAGCAGCCCAGCACCTGGGCCCTTGGGACTCTCTGCAGACCTCACCACCAACTGCCTCTCTTCTAGTCCAGGTGTGCTCACTTCACTTCAGCCTCAGCCCGGGGCCACTGCCCTGGCTCTTCCCCCAGCACTGCAGGTGGGAGCTGCTTAGTTAGATCTCGGCTCAGAAGTCACCCCTGTGGGGGCCTCCAGGCCCACTCTGTTACATCATCCTATATTATACTCTTCCCTGCAGTTTCTACTGTGGGAAACTATCTTGGTGATGTGTTTGTGAACTTTCCTCCCTGTCTACCTTCCCATCAGAATATCAGCTGTCCTGACTGTTCACTCCAAGGCCATATCCCAGAGTCTAAAACAGGACCGGGCAAAATTTGCTGAATGAGTGAATGGAAGGTGCGGGGGAGAGCGGGGGAGGTCGGAGAGTAGGAATGGGTGGCCCAGGTCAGCCAACAGGGTCTTAATGCTGGGCTGAACGTCCCAAGGGGGAAGCACCCAGGCACTGACAACCCAGAAAGGGCTCTGGGATGTCCCAGGGCACCGGCATTAAAGAGAGGACACTCTAGGGCTGGAGCTGGCTCGGCCCCTGAAACACAGCAGCACGTGGGGCGGCCAGAGGCGCAGGCTGCGTGCAGGGGGAGGGGACACGCTGTTCCGGGCACAGTCCCCGGCTGGCCGCCGGACTCCGCCCCCTCCCCTGGCCCGGCCAGGCCTGCTGTTTATCCTCCCGGGGACACAGCGGCTGCAGGAACAACATGTAATTGATAACAAGCCCAGCGCCGGCCAAGGGCTTGCCATTGGGTCAGCGTGCAAATCACGGGGGTGGCGGCGGGGGCTGTCCTTCAAAATAAGAGTCTCCGGTCCCTGAGCCGCCCGCAGGCCCCAAAGTCGCAGAGTCCGGGCGTCCTCACACCTGTAGGGCGGCAGGGTCTCCCCAGGGGCCACCTGGTCCGGGGGGACAGGGGGAAGGAGATTTGAGGCTCTCAAACAATTGTTGATTTTGTCACCTCCGAGGGCCGTGGGAGAAAACAGCCCCTCTGTGCCCTCCGTGAGAGGGGGGTTCCATGAGTAACACCAAGGCGGGGAGGGAAGAGTGAACCGGACCACCATATGGGATGGGGACGGCCTCTCTGCCCCGCCGCCGCCATCCCTCGGTCAGGCCATGGCTTTGGTAATGTTCGGTCTGAGCGGACGGGGACTCAGCGTGGAGTGAGACGCGTGAACGGTGCGGGTGTGCGTGAAGGGGTGTGAGTTCCTGTCGTGTGACTGCGTGTGCGGGGCGTGGTGCGCGGCAGCCGCTGTGGCTGTGCGGGAGGCTGTCCGCGAAGGACTCGCGCGTGGAGCCGCCGTGGGTGCCGGCGGGTGAGGGGAAACGTGCGTGGGAAATGAAGAGAGCCGGCTCAGACCCCTTCTAGAGTCCTGGACCGCTGCCCGCTGGGCACCATGCCCTCGTCCCACGCCCCCCCCTTGCCCCCGACACTGCTGCGGTGACCGACAGTAACCCCTCCGTCTCCAGCCCCTCCGCCCCCCAACCCCGGGCTGGCCAGCGCGTCCGCTCTCCCCCTCCTCTCACCAGGCCGCGCCGGTGCCCACCATATGGGAGGGCCGGCCCGCAAGGCGCGCCACGGAATCGCCCGGCCAGGCACCGAGGCGGCGGCGCGGGCCTCAGCAAAGTGCTGGTGGGCGACCGGGGCGGGGGGGGTCACCTCCCCCGGGCCAGTCCGACCCCTGCCCACCTCCGCGGGGGCCCATCCCGCTCCTCCGACATTCCTCCAGCACTCGCGCGGTGCCTCCGAGAGCTGCGCGGGAGCACGGCCACGCGCCCCGAGGCCGGCCAGCCCTCTGATCACCCGGGGCCGCGTCCACGCGGCCGGCCGGCCCCGCCGCGCCTCTCCCACCTGAACTTGGCGCACGCCGGACCGGCGGCCAGGCCCCGGCGGTCCTGCGGCCGGGCGGGCTGGGCTGGGGGCGGCGGCTAGACTCTCGGTCCGGCGGCGGCCGGGGGCCGAGCCGCGGGTCCTGCGCTGGCTCGATCGCCCGCCGGCCCGCGGGTCGCTGCGGCGGAGCACTAGCCCGCCCGCAGCTCGCTGGGCACTCACTCCCCGCCGCTCACGTGACGCAGCGGGCGCCGCGAAGGCTCGCAGGAGGCTCGGCCCCGGGCGCGCGCCCCATTGGCCCGCGCTGCGCGTCACACGTCCCGCCCCGCCCTGGCCCCGCCCTGGCCCCGCCCCGGCCCGCCCGCGCGGCTCCCGGACTTGAGCGGCGGATGCTCGGGGATCCCGGAGCTGCCAGACGCGCACGCCCCCCAACACGCTGCCTGGTCCCTGGCCCGCAGCCACCTCCTTGCTTCCCACCTCTCGCCGCTGTCTCGCGGCGTCCACGAGGGCCGGCTTCTAAAGCTCGGTTCCCAAGGTGAGAACGTGAGACTGGCCTGAAGACTTAAGAAAAGCTCTGAGATCGCCCCAAAGTGCAGTCTGCGTGATTGAGCGGGAAGCGCTGGGGAGCCTGTCTGGCCCGGTCTGGCCCACGTCCCCACCTTCATCCCCAGCGCGGTACAAGCAGCTCTGTCCCCCGCTGAGTGTCAGATAAATCACTTGCCTAGAAGGACGTATTTTTGGATAAATACGGTATTGGGCTTTCAGCAGGACAATCAGTTACCCTCCGGAAATTGCGCGCGCTCTGCGCTGCCACCCTGCCCTCCAGGACTAAGGAGGTTTGCTGACCGGCCCCCCCCCCCCCCACCTGAAACCAATGACACCTTGTCTCTGGGGCACCTTTCTGAAGACCAAACAATGCTTCGCAGTCTACAAAAGCGTTCGTAGACTGCTTTAGTCCGCAGCAATCCTGGCTCGCATTTGGGTTCCCGCTTAGAGACAGGAAGAGTAAGGCTCAGAGTGGCTTGCCCAAGAAAAACACGTGGGCTGACGGTGCTAGGCACCCTGCTGTGCCCTTTAATCCACACTCCAGCTGGATCCTCAGCCAAGCACTTTACAGATGAAGAAACCGACTCAGAGAGGGCACCAGCCCTCCCCAGCCCCACAGCTGGGAAGGAGCAGGTAGAGAGGTAGAGCCAGGTCATCTTGCAGACACCCCCAGGCCACCTGTGCAGAGCTGTCCTACTGAGCTTCCTTCCTCTCCCCTCCTGGCACTGGGAGGTGGGGAGCATTTTCTCCTGCTTCTTCTTGAAGACATTGCTAGAACAGGAATTTTTAACCATACCCTTTCCAGGCTCTCTGGAATGCTATAGGTCTAGGCTTGCTTGACCAGGGATCTGGGGACACTGTGCACCAGGTCAGTGCCAGGGATTCAGCTGCTGCTGCCACTAGGAGCCAAACCAATGCGTTGCCAGAGGGCTTTAAGGACATTTGTGTTGAGGATGGTGAGAGGCTTTCTAGTTCACAGAAGTTGGAATGACCACTCTGGCATTACAGCAGCCCTGGCTAGCCTGGGCAGAACAGTGGAATTTGTCCATTTTCATAAGAGAAGAGATAGAGGCCTGTATTCCTCATTTTGTCTCAGTGCAGGTCTGGATTGGGCATAGCCACAGCACTTCTCCATCTGCCCTGCCCGCCCTCGGTCTTCACTCCTCACATACTCTCAGTCTAGTGCCTCCCATCTCCTTGGTGAAAGCTGCAGCAAAAGGTCAGAAAAAGCTTGGAAGCAAAGACACATCGTTAGCACCTTCAGCACACAGGGAGGAGGCCCCACTGGCTAGAAACTGGAGAACAGCCAAGATGGTCCTGTTAAAACCTGAGTCAGATCAGGTCCCTTCTGGGTTCAGAAGCTTCCAGCAGCTCCCAACTCACTCAGAGTAAGTAAAGCCCAAGTTTTCACCACAATCTTTAATGCCCTACAGCTAGGTACAGCATTTACCCCAAACCATATCTAAGGAGAAAAGCTCCCTCAATATAGTGGGGAGAATCTATCATTGAGATTCCTTGGCAGAAAGGAGAGAACAAAGTCAGGTGGTGCTCTTCAAAACAGATGACCAAAAACAGTAAAGATTTATCTTCATAGCAGTGAAAATCTCTAAGTTTCTTTTCTTCCAAAGCAATTCCTTCCCTACTTCTACATAATCAAGTATAGAAAAGGGCCTTGGAAGGATATAAATTATATTGGTTAAATATTGTATGACCTTGCCTATAAAACCATTTGGGCCTGGTGCCTTTTTGGAGTGATCTTTCTCCATGCTTGAATTTCACACATTTTACCAGGATATGTCTGACTCTAGCCTCCTTCTGTTTTCATTGTTACTACTCTATGCTTGGTGTATCCTTTTAATCTGGAAACTCAAGTCTTTCTTCGTTCAGGGAAACGTTCTTCTATTGTCTCTTGTTTCCCCCTAAACAGCTGCATGGATTGCTCCATCGCATACTCAGGTCTCTGCTCAGATGCCACCTTATCCCAGACACCTTCCTCACCCATCCCGTCTAAAACAGCACATCTGCTGCCCTCAGTTTCCTGGCCTCTGTTTATTTTGCTTCATGATCCTGATCTTTATATTATTTATTGATTTGTTTCTTGCCTGTCTCTCCTATCAGGAGACAAGCTCCTTAAGAGCATGGACTTGTATTTTTTTATTCACTGCTGTATCCCCAGAACCTAGAACACTTCTGAAACATGTTGAGGAAATGAGATTTTCTTCTTGCCCCAGTAAAGCTGCCAATGGATATGGGATCTTTGGAGAAGCTCTTCAAGGTCTGGTGCTCTCTTCCACAGTACTGTAGCCACCAATCTTGTCCTCATCCCCTGTTCCACACACATACCTGAGACTTCCAGCCTCCCCACTAGCTCATGCCTGCCCGGGGGTCTGAGCCCAGCCTGCCCTCTTCCAGGAAGCATTTTGAGGGCCCCATTCAGTGGCTCAATGGTCTGTGCACAAAGGGCCCACTGTGGCCATCAAGCCCTGTGACCTCCCACAGTGACTGACTTCTCCTCACCCTTCCCAGGTGGGAAGCAACAATTCCCCCTACTCTCAGCTCCCCTGTCCCCAGCCATGCTTCAAGGGTCTCTGGCCAGAGTCCCTTACCTTCTCACCACCTCTTCCTCTAAGGGCTGGGGTGCTGAAGAGATCCTACCCATTCTGGGCTCAGGAAGTGGTTTTGAGCTGGAGGCTAGGGAATAGGCAGGCAGAAGGGCTGCTGGTGCCCAGGGGCCAGGAAAAACATGCTGCAGGAGGTTCCTCAGGCTGGGCTGGACCGTTTCCCCACCAAGCAGACCCCTGGTGCTGTGTAGACAAGAGGTCAGGTCTGTTCTGACACCAGGCGACTCAGATGAGGGCCCACTCCTCTCTCATGACCAGTGTTGTCCCCACCCCCAGCCCCCCAGCCCTGAGCACACCTAGCTTTGAGGAACATCAGCCCAGGGACCTGGGGACCTGGTGGTCCAAGAAGACACAGAGAAGGGCTGAGTCCTGAGAGCCTCTGCCCTGAGAGCCTCTGCCCCTGGCTCTGAGCATTGGCAAAGCCCCAGGTATACCCCTGCCCGGAGGATCCAGAAGCAGCAGGGGCTGAGGTGGGATGAGAGCTCCAGCTTCCCCTGGTCCATGGACACATCAGTGTGGTGCTGGGGTCAGAGGGCTCCTCAGCTTCCCCTCATCCCCGTCTCTGCCATGAGTTGTGGTCTCTCTGACACCTGACAGATTTCCAGGCAGGCAGGCAGCCTGAACCCCAGCCTAGTGGGGCTGTACATGCGTGGCAGCCTGGACTCTGGTTCTTTCACACAGTCCCTCACTGCTGAGTGGCCTTGGGCAAATCAGTTTGTCTCTCAGAGCCTCAGTTTCCTCATCTATAAAATGGGTGCTCAGACCCCTATCCTACTTACCTCAAAAGGTTGTTTGAAGATAACCAAAGTAAGAGATGGGAAAAGGCATTGGAAAGTACAGAGATTCATTACAGGCTGTTACCATTCCTTCTGATATGTATTCACTGCTCCTGGACAGCCGTCCTGCCAGTGCCGAGCATTGCTGCGGAGATGAGATGCCACTCACACTGCCAGGGCCTCCTGAGATCCCAGTGCAGTGTAGGGGGCCCAGCAGGATGACGGTGGTGCAGGTGATAAGGACGAGTGTGAAGGGGGCTATGGACGCCACCCTGGGGAGACGCACTGGGAGCAGCAAGGAGCAGCACCAAGGAGCAGGAAGAGACCACAGAGCAGGGCAGGTTAGCTCTAGGGAATGGGAGTGGCCGCCACTCCAGGCTCTCTCATGGAAGGGTGTACCAAGCCCGGCAAAAGCTAGAAGCCAGGGAAACAGTGGCCACCTTGTCAATAGGATGAAAGCCATGGGATTCTCTGTCCCCTGTTGGTTCAATTTCAAGCCTCCCAGACTGGTGTTCAGGCCATTCATTTAAGTAATTCTTTTAAAAATAACACCTGCACACATTTTTAAAGTTCAAGCACTACAGAAAGGCATGAAACAAAAAGTAAAAATTCTACTCAGCGCCAGTGCCACCTACCAGTTCTGTTTGTTGTTGTTGTTGTTCTAAATAATGTTCTGGGCTGGGGACCGTGACTCACGCCTATAATCCTAGGACTTTGGGAGGTCGAGGCGGGCGGATTGCTTGAGTCCAGGAGTTCCAGACCAGTCTAGACAACAGGGCAGTTTCGCCTGTCTCTACAAATATACAAAAATTAGCCAGGCATGGTGGTGTGTGCCTGTAGTTAGTCCCAGCTACTTGGGAGGCTGAGGTGGGAAAATTGCTTGAGCCTAGGAGGTGGAGGCTGCAGTGAGCCAAGATTGCACACTGCGCTCTAGCCTGGGCAACAGAACAAGACCCTGTCTCAATAAATAAATAAATAAATAAATAAATAAATAAATAAATAAATAAAAATATGCCTGTGTCTTTTGTGTCTGTACAACAAGTGTATGGCCCCACCCTGCCTGCCAAATAGTGTCTGTGCCCCCAGAGGCATGGCTGCATAGACTGTGAATAGGTAGCTTTGGTCTCTGAATGAGTTTGGCCCGTGGGAGGCACTGACAAGCTACTGGAGTGTGGGCAGGATGTGAGGTTCAATGTGTTCCACTGCCTGGCCCCCCCATGTGTCACCATTACTGGCTGTGTCCCTCTACCCATGGCCATGGCTCTATCAGGCAGCCTCTCCTAGAGATCTCTCCAGGTTTAGGTAACCCTTCCCCAAACCCTTAAGTCCCTTAACCCCTCACCCTGCCCATGTGTCTGTAAATCTCTCCTGCATTCAAGTCCCCTTGATCGCCCTGTGGCAGTGTCCATGTGCCCTGCTGGGACTGGACCAGCATGCATTAGCATTGCTGCTATTCAGTCTCTTTGTCATACTTCAAGATGCAAATCACCTTTCTTTTCTAATTTGAACTGGTGTTTTCTAAACCTTTTGAAAATCCGCCCTCAGATTTCCTTTCATAATACCACTATTTTTATGGTTATAATTGATTATGATTATGATTGAGTTTCCTTCTTATTTTATTTGGAGTACATCATCAAGTAAGTTTTTTCAGTAAAGGTGCTTGGAAGATAACCTTTCTGAGACTTACCATGTCTAAAAACATCTTTAATTTGCTGTCACACTTTATTGATAGTTATGGAATTCTAGATTCAAAATGATTTCTGCTCAGAACTTGAAGGTATTGCTCCACTGTCATCTGGCATCCAGTGTTGCTATGAGATGTTTGATACCAACTGGAATTTTATTCCTTTGTAGGTGCTATGGTCTGAATATTTGTGTCCCCCCAAAATTCACATGTTGAAATCCTAACCCCCAAGGTGATGGTATTAGAAAGTAGGACCTTTGAGAGGTGATGAGGTCACATGGTAGAGCCCTCCTGAGCGGATTCATGCCCTTATAAAGGAGGCCCCAGATAACCCCTCCTCCCTCCCACCATGTGAGGACACAGCGAGAAGACGCTGTCTTAGTCCATTTGCATTGCTATAAAGGAATACCGGAGACTGGGTAAATGATAAAGAAAAGCGGTGTATTTGGCCCACAGTTCTGCAGGCTGTACAGGAAGCATGGCACCTGTACAGGAAGCATGGCACCTGTACAGCAAATGCATGTACAGGAAGCATTTGCTCCTGGTGAGGGCTCAGAAAGCTTCCACTTATGGTGGAGGTGAAGGAGAATCATTATGTGGAGGTGAAGGAGAATCATTATGTGCAGAGGTCACACTGTGAGAGAGAAAGCGAGGTTGAGGGGAGGTGCCAGGCTCTTTTTGACAACCAGGTCTCTAGGGAGCTCACAGTGTGAGAATTCACCCCCTTTCTCCCCGGAGGGCACTAATCTATTCACGAGGAAACCACCTCCTTGACCCAGACACGTCCCACCAGGCTCCACCTCCCCATTTCCACACGAGCTTGGGAGGGTCAAACATCCATCTATGGCAGGCATCATCTGTGAGCCCGAGGGTGAGCCCTCACTAGGCTGAATCTGCCTGCTCCTTGATCTTGGACTTCCTGGACTCCAGAACTGATAGAAATACATTTCTGTTGTTTATAAACTACCCAGTTTACGGTAGTTTTGTTATCTCAGCCTCAGTGGACTAAGACAGAGGCTACCTGTTTTTTTTCTCTAAGAAGCTTTTGGGATCTTCTCTTTATCCTTGATTATCTGAAATTTTATGGTGACTTACCTGGTGTTGGCTTCATTTATTCATTCTTCTTCTATTTGGTCAGCATGTGAAGAAGACTTCATGCTTTTATTTAGCTCTGAAAAAATTTTATATTACTTTTTTTTGTTGTTTTTTCTTCCATTCTCATTCCCCAGTCCCCCGTGCTCTGAGGCCACCTCACTGGTGCTTCATCCTCTTGAGCACTGTTGTCCACAGGTCCAGTGGAGCTTCCTCAGGGTCCTGTGGCCCAGGCGCTCCCCACCTTGGCCACCTGTAACTTCTAACGGCCCTCCCAAGCAGTGGCCTGCCGCAGGGCCCTCCATTCCCAGGACTCCACTGAGCTCTGAGTGAGCCATGAAGTGTGCTGGGCACATGCTGCTCCCTCCCCTAGACCATGAGCACCATGGCAGTGGGAACCAGGCCTGCATCATCTGCAGATCCCCTGCCGCCAGCACAAGGCCAGGCCCCCAGCACAGACACGCTGTCTGAGTGTCCAGTCCAGAGCAGATACACAGCAGATGTGTGTTTGGGTGTGCCGCTCTCAGGCACCTCCTAGCCTCTGGCCAGCCTTCCTCGTTCTGACCTTAGCCTCCCTCCTGCTCCTTCAAGAATCCTGTTTGCTGCGGCTCCTATTCCAAGGCCACTCTCCAGCCCCAGGCTCAGAGACAACCATCCCTAGTTCAAGCACACTTCAGTTGAAACCAGTCCAACCCACATTTGTCTAAGGGGAAATGGAGTTGATAGGCTGAAGTAAGCGGAGCCTCCAATGTGGGCTCCAGGCCCAGCTGATGCCAGGGCCTCTGCTGCTGGGGGGACCCTGATCCTTGGCTTCTTGGTCTCACTTCCCTCCACATGGGCCTGTCTCAGCAGCTCCAGGCTGCACTGCTTGATGCTGATGGGCCCAGCAGGGGCCCTGGCTGGCTGCTGGCTGGTCCTGCTAGTGTCACAAGCTCATCTCTGACCCATTTGCTGTGGCCAGGGGCAGGTGGGCCACTGACAGCCAGGCCTGGGCCAGCCCTGGAAAGGGAGAAGAGTTGACCTTGCTGAATCTCATGAACAGAGTGGGGAGGGAAGTCCCCAGCACAAAACCAGAGTGTTGTCATTGTTACCAGAAGGGCACAGGAGGATACTGGTGAGCATGCAGCCCGCCCCACCTCTGCCTGCAGAGGAGGAAGCAGAGGGCGGAGCAGCTCACCCAAAGCAGTGCTGGGTCCTCAGCAGAGCAGAATTCACACCCAAGTTTCCTCGCTTACAGCCACGCTGGTTCAGGGCTGGGCCTCTGAGGAGGATCCCAGGCAGTGGAGGAGTGGGTCCCTGTGGGCGGGACTCAAGGTCTGGGGCTGTGATTCAGGCTGGTCTTCCAAGAGAGGCAGAGGTTTGGGAAGAAGGCAGTGTCTAGACCACCCTGGTGGAGCCAGCTCAGGATGGAGATGGCAGCAAGTGGCATAGGAATTCCTTCCACCACTGACACCCTCAGTCTGGGGAGGGGCTTCGGTCTGGCAGAGCTTCCCAAAGCCTTGGCCTCACATCTTTGCCTCTGCCTTTAATTGCCCCATCCTCACCACAAATCACCCTGTCTGGGGCAACCTTCCTTGGAGGCTTCTCCAGCTCTTTGGTTAGTGGCAGCATATGCAGTACACTTCACAGCTAACAAAGCCCTTTGCAGAGGCCTCCTGAGCCCTCAGCATGTGCTGAGAGGCCGCAGTCTGTTCCCCGCTCTGTAGATGAGGACATGCTGCTCAGAGACCAGCAAAGCTCCAGAGCTGCGCCGAACACTTGCCTCTCAGAACCGTGTTGGCCATGTCCCAGTTTCCCTGAGCTGTGACTGAGCCCATGGCAGGGTCCATGACACCCCCACCTAGGCTGGTGTGAATGAGGTGCTGGGCTTTGCAAGGCAGGCTAAAGCTCTGCCAGCACTGTGAGTGCTGACCAGCCAGGCCCTGCTGTTTGTTGGCAGCAAAAACTACTCCCAATCCGGAAAATGGCAAGGTAGTGGGAATTTGGGAGAATCTGCTACCTCCTCTATAGAGAAGGCTTTAAGACCCCAGGAAGGGGGAGGAGGTAGAGAGGGACCCAATACAAGGTGGGAAGTGCGAGCCTGCAGGAAGAGCTGGGGCAGGACACAGCTGAGGCACACGGAGGGCAGTGCTGCCTGGCACTCACCTGTACCCGTGTTGGCTGCCACAGGGTCCTTATTGTCCTTGCACCTGCATGACTGTAGGAGCCTGCTGCCCCCTGGCTTGGGAGTGAGGAATGTAGGGTCAGGGTCCTGGAGGTCCCAACAGTGACCAGTGGCTAGGTGGGTACAGGCCAGCCACTGCGAGGAGCCAGGACACAGTCCCCATGCTGGCACAGAGACAAAAAAGAACAGTGTCTTAAACAGGAGACTGTCTCTCTCCCTCTGGCCTCCCACCTGCTGAGTGTCAGGGATGGGGATGGTAACCCAGTGTGGGGCCCAGGCTCCTCCCACTTTGTGGCTCTGCCATTGCTCAGTCACAGCCCTCACTCGCGTGGCCCAAGATGACTCAAACACACACACACACACACACACACACACACACACACGGGCTCCAGCCCCTGGGGAGAGGAAGGAGGGCAGGAAGGCACAGAGCTGCTCTATAAGGGAATCCGGCAGAAGGAGTCATCATCAGCCCAGGGTGTGATGTCTCCCTGCCAGCAGGTTGGGAGCCTGGAGACCTGCAGGCTAAGCCCTGCTCTAACTGGCTGCAGAGATCTGAGCAAGTCACCACCCTCCACCGGTCTCTGCTTTCTCCTCTGCACCAAGAGTTCAGCCAAAACAGCCTTTGGGGGGTCTTGAGTGGAGGACTCTTAACTTACAGCTCTTTGGGGGCAGATGGGACAATGCCTTGGGGAAGGACAGATGGTTTGGGCTGCTAGGCCTCCCTGGGCTATGGCATGAGGAAGGGGGCAGACCATTGACATAGCCCTGGAACTTCCAAGCTTTCTTAGAAAAACATCTGTGGACCACCAGATAATATAATAGGTAATTTTACTGAGTGCTTCCTGTATCCCAGGCACACAGCTGAGAGCTAACATTCGAGCAATTACTGAAGGCCGGGCACTGTTCTGAGTGCTCTACAACTTCCACCTCACCTAACATATAATCTCCCGCTAGGCAGGCGCTATTGCTATTGCCATGGGCATGGTGAACCCATAAAACAAGAACCAGCCGCCATGAAAAAGGAGCACTCAGAAAACGAGAGATGATTCCTGGAAATGTAATGCTTGATGATATCCATGCAAACTCAATCCAAAGACTGAAGAGCAGAATGGACACACCAAAGGAGCCAAATAAAACGACAGATGGAAATCATGAGAATATTCCACAGCCAAGGCTTCAGTGTCCACTGGAAAGGAATTGAGTTCCCATTCAGAAGGGAAGACAGGTCCAAATCACCTCCCCAGCCCCAGCCTGCCCTCCCCAGCTGAATCTGGCTGGCGGGCATTGATGGGTGACAGGGAGTTAATGAGTCACTCCTGCCTGGTTAAAGTCCTCAAAGTTTAACACATGTTTTTCAGGCCAACCTTGGCCCTGAAGTTCCCATCCCCTTTCCCCAAGGTGCCCGTCCCGTAAGCCCAGCAGACTGGGGTCACCGGCTGTCACTCAGCTCCAAGCTGCCCAAAAGGAACCAAGGGTGGGCCATGGCTCAGCACATGAGGGGGAAGCTTCACACACAAGGAGGGGCCTCAGAGGGCAATGAGATGGCACCACCCACCCAGCCCGATACCAGGCACTTCCACACAATCAGGATAACACCAGTCCGAGTAGCATGAAGACAGAGCATGCCAATGGCCAGTCCTTACACTGGGAAATGTTCAACCTCACCACTGATCAAAGAAACACAAATGCAAACAAGATGCTATTTTCATCCAATTGACAGGGATATTCTGGAATTATAACACTGTTGGAAAGAGGTTAAATAGGTACATTTCCAGAAAACAACCTTGCACTAGAGCCCTGAGCCGGTAAGTCTATGTTCAGAAACTGATTCAAAGAAATTCAGATTTGCAGCCAGATTTATGCACAAACTTGTCCTTTCCGATATGACTTGCCATTGAGAAAAAAATGGAAACTAGTTAATGACCAACAAAAGGAAAACTGGTCATAAACTATGTCCCGTGCATGCAATGGAACATCATTTATCTATTTAAATCAGGTTTTTAAGACTACTTGATGAAAGTTAAAACTCTATATAGGAATTATTCTAGATATGATTTTGCAAGGAAAATTTATTCATAGAAAAAAATTAGAAAGAAATCAATACAGAAATATTCAAGTTAATGATTTTTCAAATATTTATGTTGAATAGTGGGATGACAAGTGCTCTTTCTTTTTAGCATTACATATTTTGCTTTTTCAGATTTTTTACAATGAACATGTATTACTTTTATAAACAGAAAAAAATGGTTTGCTTTATGTTTGTTTTGATTGTGCAACTTAGTTATTATTTTGCAATAGTTTTTCTGTAAATTTTCTCACTGACCAAACCATCAGAATATACAGACAAGTATAAGAAGAAAACAATTATTGATAACCACATTATTATTAATATTTTCTTGCTATATTACCAAAATGGGAACACATCATACATACTGCTTTGGAGGCTTTTTTAAAAATTATAGTTAAAGGCCAGGCATGGTGGCTCATGCCTGTAATCCCAGCACTTTGGGAGGCTGAGGCGGGAGGGTCACGAGGTCAGGAGATCAAGACCATCCTGGCTAACACGGTGAAACCCTGTCTCTACTAAAAAAAATACAAAAAATTAGCCAGGCATGGTGGTGGGGGCCTGTAGTCCCAGCTACTGGGGAGGCTGAGGCAGGAGAATGGCGTGAACCCGGAGGCGGAGCTCTCAGTGAGCCGAGATCGCGCCACTGCACTCCAGCCTGGGCGACAGAGTGAGACTCCGTCTCAAAAAAAAAAAAAAAATTATGGTTAAAGACACATTAAAAAATTTACCATCTTAACCATTTCTAAGTGTACAGTAGGGTTAATTATATTCACATTGTTGCACAACCAATCTCCAGAACCTTTTCATCTTGCAAAACTGAAACTCTGTCCCCATTAAACCAGTCCCCATTCCCCCTCCCACTAGCCCCTGGCAACCACCATTGTAATTTCTGTCTCTATGAATTTGACTGCTCTAGGTACCTCATATAAGGGGAATCATTTAGTATTTGTCCTTTTGTATCTGGTTAATTTCACTTAGGGTAATGTTCACAAGGTTCACCCATGTTGTAGCATGTGTCAGAATTTCTTTCCTTGTTAAAGCTAAATCATATGCCACTGTATGGACAGGCCACATTTTGTTTATCCATTCACTCATTGAAGGACAATTGGGTTGCTTCCAAAGCCTTTTAAAGACAGAATAATATATTATTATATCATTTCTATATTTTTTCTATGGCAATAATGATACATTAATATCAATCACTTTTAAAGGTTGCCTAGTGATCCATAGAGGTAGATGCTTCATAATTGATTCAGCCAATCCATGCTTGAAGAACATGTATATTATTTCCAATTTCTTACTCTCATATGCAAAACTGCAGTAATTGGCCTAGGGCATATGTCTTTGTATATTGATCCTACTATCTCTTAAAGAGAATTTGAAAGTGGGATTTGAGCATCAAATGTTCAAGGGGTGATATTTGTGACCCTGTTGCCCTCTAAACCTTACATTCATGCAGACCCCTGCATCCGTAGTTCCCTGTCCTCATGGTCATTGTCACCACTGGGTGGCCTCACTTTGTAAAAAGTGACACTTTTTTCTGTCAATTTTTGTCAGTATGACAGGTTAAAAAGTGTCATTGTATTCATTTGCATCTCTTTGACACTTGATGAAGTTGAAGGTTAGTTCATACTATTGAAATATTGGACAGGCAGATGGGCCTTCCTTTTACAGGGCCTGTTCGGGCCTGTGCTTCCTAGAGGAGTCTTGCCCATTTCCTTGCTGAGGTGCACGATCTACTTGCATGGGAAGGACCCTCACACTCTGCCTGGATCTATGGCCAGCAATCGTTTGGGAGTTGCAGAATTTGTTGTATTTCCAAATATAGTTACGGATTCTGCCTTTGGTGTTCTATTTAGAACCCGTCTGCTTCAAGACTGTGTGTGTATCTAGTCACATTTTTCACTGATGTCACATAGTCATGTTCACATGACTTCTGGGACTGTCATGGTTTAATGTTACCATCCACCTCGTTCATGCAGCTTTAATTTATTCTGATGGGCCTGTGCCGAGGTCAGATCTCAGATGTGTCAAAGCCATGGCCAGGCCAGCCCCAGTTGCCTGTCATCCCTCAGCACCTTCCCCACAATGTGTGAGACCTTTACACTGTCCCCACCTGCAAGAAGAGAAAGACCGTCCGCTGCCCAAGGCTGAGCCTCCCTGCACAGGCCTGCCCAGAGACCTTTACTGTTTACAGGAGGACCCAGGAGAACATACCAGGTGCAGAGGTCCTATGGCTGGGATTCCAGGCACCACTGTTGTCCCTAGTAATGGAGGAGCCACCATGGGATGGGGGGCTCTATGCCTCCCCAAGAGCCACGTCAGTGAGTACCTGCTCTCCCTGCACCTGGAGACAATTCATTATTGGTGATATCAAACTGCACCCAGTCGATTACAAAGCCACTGCCTCCTTCAGTCCTCACAGGAGGCTTTGCTGCTTGAGTTCTAGGGAAGAAGCTGAGAGAAGCCAAGAGCACAGAGGGACTTCAGTGACATAGCTACAGGGCGTAGAGGCAGGGCCAGGCTCTCACAGCGTCTACACTTTCTGCTTCGGTGGCAGCCGAGCCGCAGCTGTCAGGTGGGAGCCTTGGTGGAACCTGCAAGCTGTCAGGGCTGCCTAGGGAGACTGGGGAGCTTGGCCAGGCACACCAGAGCAGAGGGCAGGCAAGGAGTCTGCAAGCCTGAGACCCAGGGACCCTCAGCTGCCCCCACCCATACCCACTCCTGCATTCCAGCCCCCAGCCCAGAGCCCAGAGCATGCACCTTCCTGGGGGCGCTTTTCCCTGACATCCCCCTGTTCCTGGCTACAGATGCAGTTCATACGCTTATTCACCCAACAGGCATTTACTGAGTACCTACTATGTGCCTGGTACTGTTCTGGGGACACAGCATTCGCCACAGAGGCAGGATCTACCTTCTGGGAGCTTTTATTCCACTGCGGGATATACAGGGGCTCCATGCAGAGAATGGAGAAGTCCCAGTGGTGCTCAGTGCTAGGACAGCTCTTTGTGGAGGCCCACGGCGTGCCAGCCCAGCCTGCGCCCAGCCCAAGGGCAGGGAGCACAGCACGGTCTTTGTCCTCATGAACATTCCAACCAGACAAGCATGGAGGCAAAGGGAAGCTGCTTCAGGTGGGCTGCGTCGGGGTGGCCTCTCCACAGAGGTCCTGCTGGAGCTGAGAAGGAGCTGTCTTGAGAGGAACCAGGGAAGGGTGACCCATGCGGAGGCATGGGCTGGGGGCGGGGAAGTGCCAGCACGCTGGTGGCTCTGCAGGACGCTGAGGCTGAGAGCAGCAGATGTGGGCGATGAGTGGGAGCTGTGGAAGCTGCGAGGAGGGCCTGGGTCGCAACAAGCAGGACACGCCCCACAGTGAGCAATCACCTGGCTCAACCTGCGGGTGTCTTCCGGCAATGCAAGCATCACACCGTCATGCTCGCCGGCTCCTGCGGTGGTGTGAGCCCTGGGTGCACAGCTTCTTGCTCCATTCCATGCACCTCTGCCCTCCTTCTATGAAGCGAGGGTGCAGCCATGCAGCTAACCATCCTGACCCACGGAGTGGCTGCAACTGGCGACTCAGAAACACTGTTGTAGACCATAATAAAGATTTTTGTTGGTATTCTCAGAGCAACGGGAATGCGCTGACGTGTTTAAGCAAGAGAGAGACTTGATCTGACTTCAGTTTTTTAAGATTCCTTTGTGCCATGTGCAAAAGCACAGCTGAGCACACCGATGCACATCATGGTGTGGCTTACAGTAGCCAAAAGGTGGAAGCACCCGAGTGTCCATCGACAGATGAAGAAGCCAAATGTGCTCTATCCACATAATGGAACATGACCAGCCTTAGAGAGGAAGGAAATCTGTCATATGCAAGGCACAGATGAACCTTGAGGACATGGTGCTGAGGGAAACAAGCCAGGCATGGAATGACAAGTCCCATGTGATTCCTCTTATACGAGGTCCCTAGAGCAGTCAGGTTCACAGAGATGAAGAGTGGAATGGTGGTCACCAAGCTTTGGGGGAGTCTGTGTTTAATGGGACAGAGTTTTAGTTTTACAAGATGAAAAAGTTCTGTGGATGGATGGTGGTAATTGTTGCATAACAATGTGAATATGCTTAATGTACTGAACTGTACACTCAAAAATGATGAAGACAGTAATTTTATGTTACGTATACTTTACCACAATTTAAAATAAAACAAGGGCTGTCGGGATGTATCAGCTGGTGCCCCCCAGGAGAAACCAGCACACTCAAGCAGGCCGAACAGAATAAATGTCATGCCAGGGCTCGTGACAGAGGCAGGCAGGTTAGAGGGTGCAGCTCCCGGGAGTGGAGGCTCCCACCCCACCCAGAGGCCTGGAGGAGCTGAGGACAGGGCCGGTAGGTGGACGCATAGGAGCCACCCGACAGGCACTGCTGGAACCTCGCCCAGACAGAGGAGTAGGCAGCCAGGTGCCCTGAGCTGTCTCTGCTGCCTCTACCCCAGTGTGCTGGTGCCTCCTATTGATGAAACCAAACCAGAAGTCAGTGTGTCTTGTCCTAGAGGTCAGCCTCAGGACACTGTGGGGGCCAGGACAGGGCAGCACAGGGAGCTGAGCAGTACAGGAGACAGATGGGAGTCGAGGGAGTGGGGGCTCTACCCCAGTAGTGGCCATGGAGATGCAAATGGCCTTGAGAACATATTTTGGAGACAGAACCTCAGGACTAGGTGCATTGGACATGGTTGAGAAACAGGTTTTGTTTTGCCTTTCTTTGGTAACTCTGAAAGGCAGAAGGTGCTAAACTGTGCTGGAGAGAGGCAGGGTGGAGTGGAGAGAGACCAGGTTTCAGGCAGACAGGCCTGGAGCCAGCAGGTTCCAGCACAGACCCAAGGGTGAGAGACGTTCACAGTATCTAACCACGGGAGGGCGCAGGTGCCGCAGAGGGATGGGACAGAGGTGTCCCCTCTGTTACTGGCCATGAGAAGCCCAGAGGTCACCAAGGAGGGCCAGCGACTGCAGTCGCTGGGAGTCAGGGGTATCTGGGGTGTTCAGGCAGTGCCCTTTGCCCAGGCTGGAATATTTTCCCAGCTGCTCCATCCATGCCAGGGCCTCCTGGGTGTGTTACCAAAAGAGTGGGGAAGTTGTGCTTGAATATTCTAAAGACAAAGGAAAAACTCAGAGGCAGAGCCCAGACCAGGGTGGCCCATGGGGTCAGGCCACCAGCCAGAACCTGCAGGGAGGAGGAAGACCTGGACATTCCTCTCTCCCTGCCTTGCCTGCTCAAGGAAAGGCCTGTGGGAAGGGGCCGGGCCTGGACCTCACAGTCCCTACATGTCACTAGCCAGGCCAGGGCTGTTTCCAGTTGCACATTTAGGAAAGTGTAGTCAGCACTGTCAAGAAAATCAACAAAGACAAGAATAAAATAGAAAAGGAAAGGAGAGCACAGCAGAGCTCATTGCGGGTGCAAGAGAAGTGGTGTCCACTCTCCTTTCAGGCTTGGGACAGAGAATAAGTTTCTGAATTCAGGTTACAACATTTTAGTGCCTTGAGAGGTGCTGTGTTTGTGGGCAGGGGTCTTGGCTTCTCTTCAACATCTGCACCCAGCCCCCTGCACCCACTCCCCCTACTCAGCGCCCCTGACCTGCGATCTCTCCCTCTCCCTCTGGTTTCTGCCTCCCCTGGCTTGACGCGTCATCCTACAGTGCCGAGTCCTGATGTGAGCACCATAGGGGCAGAATCATGCTGAACCTCTAGCCCCTTTCTTCCCGTAATGCCAGGACGTGCCAGCAGCCCTGCACCAGCTCTGCTTCCTCCTGTAGGGTGGTCAACCCTGTGAGCCAGGCCCCCTACTCTGCTCGGGGTCACCAGCTGTTCTCTGGACCTGCCCAGGCCTGTGGATCATCCTGCCTGGGAGTCATCGGCCACCTCCCCTCACCAGCCTGCAGGCCATCCTCGTTCCTCAAGGCCTTGACCTCTTCAGCCACCTGGAAACGGGCCTTTATCTGGTCCCGGTCCTGGCTGGGACTTGTTCCATGCCTCTGGCCACTTCTTGCAAAAGCAAATGCTTCTCATACAGCACTGGGCATTTTGCCACTGTTAGAGAGGCCAGAAAAATTCAGGGACTTGAAGGGCTAGAGAGCCTCAGAAGTCAGATGTGGTCTGTGGTCTCTGCACTCGGGAGTGCAACTCTTTCCATGCGATGACACGAGAATGTGTAACTGTATCAGATTCAACTGGCAGATTGGCAGCAAGGTTAACAAGACGGTCTTGAGTCTCACTCCCAGACAGGCGGAGCCAGGGGCCCAGGAATCTGCATTTGCAGGAGACACTCTGCTAATTCTGAAATTCCTAATTCAGTCAAACTTCATGCAGAGTCACGGTCATGTGCCAGCTCTTGTCGGGCATTTGGGCCACGTCCGTGAACACCATGGACAATGACTTCTGCTCTCAGAAAGCTTGTATTGTGTGAGGGGAAGACAGAAAGCAAGCAATAGACTCAGGCAGTAAGTGACAGGGAGTGTCAGAGGGAGACATGAGAAGTGATCATGGACAGGTGGCGGTGCTGGGGGTGTCAGGCTAGAGCTATGGGCCACAATGTGGAGCAGGCCAGTGAGAACAGGCCTCACTGAGGTGACTGAAATCTTGGAGGTAGAGTAAGGGGAGAGGAAACAGGCAGTACAAGGGTTCTGAGGCAGCATGCCTGGTGTAACTGCGAGGCGGAGGAGGCCTGTGCGGCTGCAATGGCACAGGGAGAGTGAAGAGACAGTGAGGCCAGAGAGCCTGCTGGGGATGCAACGCTGAGTGAGTTTGAGCCATTGGAGGGTTTTGAGCAGAGAGATGACGTGGTCTAACATGTCTTCAAGGATCCCTCCCTCTTGGCCCACCAAGAACAGAATCCGGGTGTGGGGTTGGGGAGGATAAGGCAGAAGCCAGAGACCAGCTGGAGACTCTTTCTGTAACTGGGGCAAGGGTGTCTGAGGCGAGTGACAGCCAAGGCACGAATCTAACAGGATCCTGCCTGGGATGGGCTGCTCAGCCAGGCCAAGCTCTGTTCCAAGTGATTCCCGAGTAATAACTCATTTAATGCTTGCCCAGCCCTGTAAAACAGGCACACTCATTGACTTGTTTTATAGAGAAGGTTATGGAGGCACAAAGAGGGTGAGTAACTCACCCTGGGCCACACAGCCAGAAGACGACAGAGCCAGGATTCAAACCCAAGTAGTCTAAAGTCAGAGCCCAAGCCCTTAAAGAGTCACATTTTGGCTGGGGCGCAGTGGCTCATGCCTGTAATCCCAGCACTTTGGGAGGCCAAGGAGGGCGGATCACGATGTCAGGAGATCGAGACCATCCTGGCTAACACGGTGAAACCCCGACTCTACCAAAAATACAAAAAATTAGCCGAGCAAGGTGGCAGATGCCTCTCGTCCCAGCTACTCCAGAGGTTGAGGCAGGAGAATGGCGCCACTGCCATTGAGGCAAGATCATGCCACTGCACTCCAGCCTGGGCAACAGAGAGAGACTCTTGTCTCAAAAAGGAAAAAAAAAAGAGCCACATGTTTCAGAGACAGAAGCACAAACCCTACCCTGCCCTGCCCTGAGGGAGGACATTTGTAGAGAAAAGAGAACACTGGGCCCTGGATCCAGGAGGGGCCATCAGGGGGGCAAGAGGTCCACTCCAGTCTGACTTTGGGAGGTCCCAACTGCACTTCTCCTGGCGGTGTGGGCTCCTGCAGGTCCCTAGGCCTCCCCACGTCTCCATTTCACCTTGCGGGAGTTGAGGCCATGACAGGGCTGCCTCGCAGTTGTGGCGGGGGGGAAGGGACGGCCTGGGCACCATGTGCTCAGGAAGGTGCCTTAGCCCCGCCATTCCCCCAGCAGGGGCCAGAGGTGGTCTGGCTGAGCAGAAGAGGCAGGGCCGGAGATGGGATGGCCTGACAGGAGCTGGGGAGGTCTGGGCCCCAGGGATGGCAGGAGTTGTGACAGGCAGGAGTGACCACAGCAGTGGAGCTGCATCAAGGGCCTCCCGGGGGACAGTGGCCTCCTGGGAAGCAGAGGAAACAGAGTGGAGGCGGCCCCAGCCCCCTGCTCAGAGGCCGGCTGGCGTGCAGCCTTCCTAGGTCTGGACCTCTCTGGGCCTCTGTTTCCTCGTCTGCAGAATAGAGGAGCAAAATGCTGGCTGCACCAGAAATCCTCCTGGTCAGGGCACGGCTAGGAGGACACGGCCTCCTGCTGCAAACACTAGATGTGCTCTGCCAGCCGGGAACCTGCCCCTCTGCTGCTGTGAAACGCGAAATCCGTCTGTCTTGTTCTTTTTCCCCGAGGGTTCTGGTCCCTCTGAGGCTGTAAATCTGAAGCTTGCATCTTTGAAAGTAACTTTTATTTTCTGCCAGAAAGCTTCTGAGAGTTGGCGTTTTTCTCTGAGATCTGTAACAATGCCCCAGCTGTGGCTGCTGCTGAGCTTTCATGTTCAATTTCCTCAGTTCAGAAGAGGGTGCTCTCCAACCCCAGCCGGCTTCTTCACTCCCCTTTGGGATCTTAGCTGGTAAATTTCAACCATGTGTTTTGCCCTAAAGGGGAAGTCCTCTGCCAGCTGTCTGGAGGGCCATCCTTCCCATTCATATCCCACTCCTGGTGCATCTGGAGTCTTTGTCAAGTTCATCTCCCATGTTCACAAATCCATCAGTTTTCCCAGTGTTGTGGCTTAACTCTGTGGGTGTTTCTTTTCATCCTCCCTACCCATGTGCAATGGGTTTGAGGCCTTCTTTTCTCTAAGTAATGAGATCCATCATCTTCTGATACTTGCTTCTGACTCATGCAGCATAGGTGTTCCTAGCAAAGAAAGAAGTGTTTTTTCTTTGCTCTCATTGAATTGTTTCCCTGATAAACACCTGTGTGCCAGGCACTATATCATGCCCTGAGGTATGCCTTTCCCAAATGACTTCATCAGTGTTTGTGGCTTTTATTTTATCTGTTGGGTAGCGACTTCCAAATTTCTGACTCCTGCCAGGATCTGCCAGCTGAATTCCAATCACGGATCCAGCCACGTGTCTGCTACCTCTACATGGGTTTCTCTCAGGCACTCTCCCACCCCAGCAGCCTCACCCCTAATATTTGTGGAACTCAGGCCAAGAGTAAAATGGAGTCTACTGCCCTTCCCTTCCTGCCCTGGACACATTCAGGTCTAAGGCCTCACTCACACATTTGCGGACACCCAGGCTGAGTCCATGCTATGTCCACATCCCCACCACACTCAGGCAGACAGCACCCCTTGGCTTCTCTTGGGCTTAAGCGGGTGCAGACTCCAATACTGGGGATGAGTGGCAAAGGCTTGTGCGATCTTGAAGCCAGGTTCCCAGTTGTCTGCATAGGAGACTCTGGAGTCCAGAAACCCAGGACTTCATCTCCAACACTCTCATCTCCTGATCCCATGCCTGATGCATGGCCTTCTCCTGCAAATTCTCCTTTACCTCTTCCCTCCCCAGTGCCTCCGTCTTTGTCCCAGTCCTCTCCTCCTCAACCGGACCACAGAGTAGTGGCTTCCATATCTACCGTTGTCCTCTCCAATTTGCTTGGATTTTTGTAATGTTAATTAAGTTGTCTTTCCCCATTCAGTGGTTTTCCATTGCAGGTGGAAACACACAGACTCCTCACTGTGACCTCAATGGCAAGAAGGCCTTCTAAAGAGCAGCCACTGAAGGTGAAGTCTAAAAGCCAATAAAGAGCTGGCCTGGTGGGCTGGGTGCAGTGGCTCATGCCTGTAATCCCAAGACTTTGGGAGGCTGAGGTGGGTGGATCACCTGAGATCAGGAATTCGAGACCAGCCTGGCCAATGTGGCAAAACCCCATCTCTACTAAAAATACAAAAATTAGCTGGGTGAGGTGGTATACTCCTGTAATCCCAGCTACTCGGGAGGCTGAGGCAGGAGAATTGCTTGAACCCAGGAGGCGGAGGTTGCAGTGAGCTGAGATTGCGCCACTGCACTCCAACCTGGGTGACAGAGCAAGACTCTGTCACAAAAAAAAAAAAAAAAAAAAAAGCTGGCCTGGCAGGATCAGGGTAACCAAGGCTCTAGAAGGGAAGGAACAAGAGTGACAGCCCAGCAGTAGGGACCCCTGCCGTCACCACATCCTTCCTCTTGCTCTGCTCCAGCCCCATGGGCCAGGGAAGATGCAGTCTGTCCTTAATTCCATGAAGCTCCTCCTGTGCAGACATGGAGTCTTCCATCCCCTGGATCCGGGCTGGCCTGTGACTTGCTTTGGTCCACAGCTTGTGGCAGAAGCTATGTTGAACCCCTCTGAGCCTGGGTCTCAAGGCTTTGCCACTTCCACCCTCACACCGAAGACCCCTGCCCAGCTGTGTGTGACAAGCCCATGGGGGAGGAGAGACCATGTGGAACAGAGACAGGCCATGCCAACTAAGGCTCTCCAAGGCCACTCAGCTCTGCCGACTGGTGGCTGACCTCAGACACGTGGGCCAGGGCCAGGCCCAGCCCAGCAGAACAATGTCTCAGCTGAGGCCAGCCCAAATTGCCAATCCACAGAATCGTGAGCAAAACCAATGGTTGTTGTTCTAAGCGCTATATTTTCAAGTGTTTTCTTCCAGAGCAAAACTTGACTGACTCTTTCCTGTTGTTCTTCAGGCTCGCCAAGGCCTCCCCTACCACTGGGATGTCACTCTTGCACCTTCCCTTCTAGAGTTCGCTATACCCAGATCTTGCCAGGCCAGCTCTTTAACTGGCTTTCAGACTTCACCTTCAACAGCTGCTCTTTAGAAGGCCATCTCTGACCTCCCTTTAGGTAAGTCTCATTTTGTTTCCTCATGCTCCCTCTGTGAGGGGAGAACGTGCAGCCAGCAGCTCAGCGTGCAGGGTCTCCTGTGCAGAGAAGCCCTTTTCTCACTCACCTTCTCATTTCTCTGCCTGATTACCATCTCGCTCCCTTGCTGGGCTATAAGCTCCCTGGGGGCAGAGGCCATGTCTCTGCTCACTGTCACACCCCAGCCCCTTCTACCGTGCCTGGCACATAGGAGGAGCTCCATGAATGTTTGCTGAGTGAGGAACTGACTGAACTGAAGATCTACATCTGAGTCATCTTTTTCACCAACACCTAGCCCTTGCAACATGCAGGATATGTTAGTTCAGGGTGGGATGCATGGGTCAGTTGAAGCCCTGCTGAGTAACAAATAGGGCCACAGGCCAGGAAACAAAAACTATCCAGAGCCCATGGCTCTGGTCCCTCCTAGGCAGCTCTGTCCTTCCAGGTGCTAGGGCCAAAATCATCACTGGGTCCTCGTTGACTCCTCTGTCTTATAAACTGCATCTAGCAAATCGTTCACAACATAGCTAGGGTTTGGTCACTTTCCCTCACCTCTACAGCCCCCCTCCCTGCTTCAGGTCACTGTCACCCTTCTCCTAGACCATTGCAGTCGCCTTCCACCAGGCACATGATGCTCCCTGCATCAGGTTAGCTCCCTGTGTCTACCCTGCTTTCCTGTCTCTTCTCAACCCAACAGCCACAGTGACCCTTCAAAACTATGAGTGAGGCTGGGCACAGTGGCTCATGGCTGTAATCCGAGCACTTTAGGAGGCTGAGGCAGGAGGATTACTTTAGGCTAGGAGTTTGAGACCACCCTGGGTAACATAGCAACACCCCATCTCTAAAAATTTTCTTAATTAACCAGTTGCATGGTGGCATGTGCCTCTAGTCCCAGGTACTCTGGAGGCTGAGATAGGAGGATCACAGGAGTTTGAGGCTGCAGTGAGCTGTGATCACATCACTGCACCCCAGCCTGGGCCAAAGAGACAGACCCTCTCCCAGAAAAAAAACAAAACAAACCAAAAAACTATGAGTGAGATCCTGCCCCTATGAGTGTTCTCCCTTTCCCTGGGGAGTGAGGAGCATGGCAGTGGCCAGCGACCCTGTGGGCTCTGGGCTGCCCACCACACTCCCTTCACTGGCTCTGCACCAACCACACTGACCCTGCCCAGTCCCTCGGCCCCGCTCTGGGTCAGGGCTCGCCCTCTTGCTGGCTCTCTGCCCGGCATCCTCTTCTCCCAGGCAGTGGCTGACCCATGCCCTCTCCTCCTTCAGGTCCCTGTGCCCCGGGAGACCCCGTGGCCACTCTGTAAAATAGAACGCCCCACCACCCAGGCGGCTACAGCCCCTGGCGGGCCCCTTCTCCCAGCCTGCTGCCTGCAGGACGAGCTGCCTGGGTCTCCCTGCATCAGGTTAGCTCTGTGAGGGACGATTCTGCTCTTTTTGTTCCTTGCCGCATTCCCAGCATGCCTGGCCTGGGGGATGCTCCATCTCGCTTTTCCAAATGAGGGAGGAATGATTCTCACCTGTGCTTGTGGCCTGCCCCCCATGTTTCTCCCAAAGCCTCCTCTTGCAGCTCAAGCCCCTGCCCACCTCGCTCCACTGCAGGGTCAGGGTAGAGAAGCACCCGGCAGGTGAGAGGCAGCTCATCCTGGACCCTAGGGCCTTTGCATGCTGGTCCTGGGCTGGCCAGAGTCCCCTTCACAGCAGCCGCACTCTTCTCCAAGGGACAGACCTCTCTGGCTTCCTCAGAGGTGACAGGGACTGCACAGGGCAACTGTGTTTCTGGGGTCACTAAGCTGGATGTACACAGGGTCCGGCAATCCCTTATCCGATCTGAACTTTGCCACCTCAAGTCTTAGGAACGTGGCTCTCTAGCTCAGCTCCACAAGCGTTCCCAAGTTCTCACTCTCTTCTGGGCTGAGGAGGAAAAAGCCATCTGTGCTCACAGCCTTTTAGGTGGCTGGGCTCGTCGCCGGCAGAGGAGAGGCATGCATAGGACAGGCCCCACAGCACAGCTCTGGGGGGCAGCACAGGCAAAAGCGTTGCTGGGCAGTGTTCTCCAAGTTCTTGTCACCCCACATCACTAACCAATTCCTCCTCATGGGCTGGGTGAGCCTGGTTGAAACTATCACCATCCCTCCCTCTACCTTTCAGGAGAGCACACCAGTGAGCTCAGGGCTATCCAAAGTGTCCGGATGGAAACTGGAACAAATGTTAAGGCACTGGGGGACAGGGAATCACTCACTCTTTTATATTATTTTTAAGTGTATCTACTAAAAAAAGTCAAGCTTTTAGAGAATTAAAGTCAGTTTTATGTAGAAGCCTTACTGAGGACTATAGACCGAGGCCCGTAGCTGGGAGCAGCCCTTTTGAAAGGCTCTATCAGGCCATTTCTGCACAGTGATTCTGCGCATGGCTTATACCCAGGTGGTGCAGGTGCAGTATATCCAGTCCCATCAGAGTTTGGGTGCAAGAGTATATCTGCTTATAGATAACAGAGGCATAATCACTAAGCTCATCAGATGTTATGTGAGAAAAAAGGCAAGGACTAGGGTCATTTTCTTTTAAAGAATACAGTGACACAGGCAAGAGACATAGGGGACCATGTGCTCTGCCTTGCTTTGTCTTCAAAGCATTCTTCCAGAGGGCTGCACTCATCATAGAGGCAAGGGCTTTGTAAAATTCTGCAAAATTTAATTTAAAATTAAAACAAAAATAAACAAACACGGCTTCTGACATTTGTTACTTTGTCTTGAAAGTGTATTTTTCTATTTATTGTTTGAGACAGGGTCTCACTCTGTTGCCCAGGCTGGAGTAGAGTGGTGTGATCATAGCTCACTGCAGCCTCAAACTCCTGGACTCAAGCAATCCTCTCATGTGCTGGGATTACAGGCGTGAGCCACTGCACCTGGCCTTCACAAGTGTACTTAGGTTGCATTGAATCCATTCTGACCTCCTTAGATGCAGGGAACGGCCTGCTCACCACCCCATTTCCCCAGGGTCTAGTTAGCCAGTAGCTGGCATACAGAGGGGAGTCCCAGTCATGTTGGCTGCATAACAAAGATGCCAGAACTTAGTAGCTAAAACAATGACAATGTTTATTTTGCTCACAAATCTTCCACTTGCATGGGGCTGGGAGGGGATAGCAGATTTCTGCTTTGCTCAGCATCAGCTGAGATGATTCAAAGTCTGGGGGCTGACATTACCTAAGAGATTGCTCATTCACTTGTCTGGGAATCGACGCTGACTGTGGGCTGAGACCTTAGCTGGGATTTTTAGCCAGGACACCACATGTGGCCCCTCCATGTGGCCAGGGCTTCCTCACTACATGGAGGCTGGTTTCCAAGGTAAAGCTTCCCAAGAGAACACCAGGAGGAAGCCATATCACCTTTTATGGTCTAGCCTTGAAAGTCATGCAGCCTCTCTGAAATTGAGGCAATAATTAATGGCCTACCAACCAAAAAAAGTCCAGGACCAGACGGATTCACAGCCAACTTCTACCAGAGGTAGAAAGAGGAGCTGGTATCATTCCTTCCGAAAATATTCCAATCAATAGAAAAAGAGGGAATCTTCTCTAACTCATTTTATGAGGCCAGCATCATCCTGATACCAAAGCCTGGCAGAGACACACACACAAAAAGAGAATTTTAGACCAATATCCCTGATGAACATCGATGTGAAAATCCTCAATAAAATACTGGCAAACTGAATCCAGCAGCACATCAAAAAGCTTATCCACCACAATCAAGTTGGCTTCATCCCTGGGATGCAAGGCTGGCTCAACATATGTAAATCAATAAACATAATATATCACATAAACAGAACCAATGACAAAAACCACATGATTATCTCAATAGATGCAGAAAAGGCCTTCGACAAAATTCAACAGCCCTTCATGCTAAAAATTCTCAATAAACTAGGTATTGATGGAATGTATCTCAAAATAATAAGAGCTATTTATGACAAACCCACAGTCAATATCATACTGAATGGGCAAAAACTGGCAGCATTCCCTTTGAAAACTGGCACAAGACAAGGATGCCCTCTCTCACCACTCCTATTCAACATAGTGTTGGAAGTCCTGGCCAGGGCAATCAGGCAAGAGAAAGAAATAAAGGGTATTCAATTAGGAAATGAGGAAGTCAAATTGTCCCTGTTTGCAGATGACATGATTGTATATTTAGAAAACCCCATCGTCTCAGCCCAAAATCTCCTTAAGCTGATAAGCAACTTCAGCAAAGTCTCAGGATACAAAATCAGTGGCAAAAATCACAAGCATTCCTCTACACCATTAACAGACAAACAGAAAGCCAAATCATGAGTGAACTCTCATTCATAATTGCTACAAAGAAAATAAAATACCTAGGAATCCAACTTACAAGGGATGTGAAAGAACTCTTCAAGGAGAACTACAAACCACTGCTCAACAAAATAAAAGAGGACACAAACAAATGGAAGAACATTCCATGCTCGTGGATAGGAAGAATCAATATTGTGAAAATGGCCATACTGCCCAAAGTAATTTATAGATTCAATGCCATCCCCATCAAGCTACCAATGACTTTCTTCACAGAATTGGAAAAAACTACTTTAAAGTTCATATGGAACCAAAAAAGAGCCCACATTGCTAAGGCAATCCTAAGCAAAAAGAACAAAGCTGCAGGCATCATGCTACCTGACTTCAAACTATACTACAAGGCTACAATAACCAAAACAGCATGGTACTGGTACCAAAACAGAGATATAGACCAATGGAACAGAACAGAGGCCTCAGAAATAACACCACACATCTACAACCATCTGATCTTTGACAAACCTGACAAAAACAAGAAATGGGGAAGGGATTCCCTATTTAATAAATGGTGCTGGGAAAACTGGCTAGCCATATGTAGAAAGCTGAAACTGGATCCCTTCCTTACACCTTATACAAAAATTAATTCAAGATGGATTAAAGACTTAAATGTTAGATCTAAAACCATAAAAACCCTAGAAGAAAACATAGGCAATACCATTCAGGACATAGGCAAGGGCAAGGACTTCATGACTAAAACACCAAAAGCAATGGCAACAAAAGCGAAAATAGACAAATAGGATCTAATCAAACTAAACAGCTTCTGCACAGCAAAAGAAACTACCATCAGCATGAACAGGCAACCTACAGAATGGGAGAAAATTTTTGCAATCTACTGATCTGACAAAGGGCTAATATCCAGAATCTACAAAGAACACAGACAAATTTACAAGAAAAAAACAAACAACCCTATCAAAAAGTGGGCAAAGGATATAAACAGACACTTCTCAAAAGAAGACATCTATGCAGCCAACAGACACATGAAAAAATGCTCATCATCACTGGCCATCAGAGAAACACAAATCAAAACCACAATGAGATAATATCTCACACCAGTTAGAATGGCAATCATTAAAAAGTCAGGAAACAACAGATGCTGGAGAGGATATGGAGAAATAGGAATGCTTTTACACTGTTGGTGGCAGTGTAAAATAGTTCAACCATTGTGGAAGACAGTGTGGTGATTCCTCAAGGATCTAGAACTAGAATTACCATTTGACCCAGCAATCCCATTGCTGGTTATATACCCAAAGGATTATAAATCATGCTACTATAAAGACACATGCACACATATGTTTATTGCGGCACTATTCACAATAACAAAGACTTGGAACCAACCCAAATGTCCATCAATGATAGACTGGATTAAGAAAACGTGGCACATATACACCACAGAATACTATGCAGCCATAAAAAAGGATGAGTTCATGTCCTTTGTAGGGACATGAATGAAGCTGGAAACCGTCATTCTCAGCAAACTACCGCAAGGACATTAAACCAAACACCGCATGTTCTCACTTACAGGTGGGAATTGAACAATGAGATCACTTGGACACAGGGCGGGGAACATTACACACCAGGGCCTGTCAGGGGGTGGGGGGCTGGGGGAGGGATAGCATTAGGAGAAATACCTAATGTAAATGATGAGTTAATGGGTGCGGCAAACCAACATGGCACATGCATACCTATGTATCAAACCTGCACATTGTGCACATGTACCCTAGAACTTAAAGTATAATAAAAAAAGAAAAAAAAGAAAGTCACGCAGCTTCACTTCTGCCACCTTGTGTGTGTCGAGGCAGTTCCAAAGACCCACCCAGATCAAGGGCATGGGAAACAGTCTCTGCGTCCTAATGGAGAATAACAAGTTTCGGAAAGAGCATGCAGGACTGGACATACTGCTTTGGCTATTTGTGGAAAACACTATCTGTCACAAACAGCTCTAAAATACCTTCAACATCCCAGGGACAAACTTATTCCAAACTAGAATCCTGTGCCCAGCTAATCCGCCAAGCAGGAGAACTTCTAGACATGCTGCCTCTCTAAAGTTTACCTCCTGCGATTCTCTTTCAGAAAGTTACTCAAAGAATGATCCACTAAAATATAAAAGTAAGTCAAGGAAGCAAAAGACACTTCCTTGCATGAATCTAACACAAGGAGGGGAAGGGAGGTCCTATGATGGCAATTATACAAGAAGCCGAAAAAATTGATCAGTCAAGATGAGAGCGGGAGGGAGGGCAGATGCAGGCGGGATATCTGCAGGAAAACAAACATATTTATGGCACTGATGGAATTATCTGTGTGTTTGTTTGTTAGAAAATGACATTTGACCAGATGCGGTGGTTCACGCCTGTAATCCCAGCAATTTGAGAGGCCGAGGCGGGTGGATCACCTGAGGTCAGGAGCTCAAGATCAGTCTGGCCAACATGGTGAAACCCTGTCTCTACCAAAAATACAAGAATCAACTGGATGTGGTGGCAGGCACCTGTAATCCCAGCTACTCTGGAGGTTGAGGCAGGAGAATCCTTTGAACCCCAGAGGCGGAGGTTGCAGTGAGCCAAGATTGCATCATTGCACTTCAGCCTAGGCAACAAGAGCAAAACTCTGTCCCCCTCATGAAAAAAAAAAGAGAGAGAAAAGAAAAGAAAAAGAAAAGAAAAATGATATACACAGGGTCGTGAGGATTAGTGATAATAATATACAGAATGGAACAGATGACAGTCAAACAAAATAGGACCCAGACACAGGCCTATGTATCCATAGATGCTTAATATATGGCACCAATAAAAGTGCATACCAGAGGACAAAGGATACATTTTTTCTTTTTTCTTTTTTTTTGAGATGGAATCTCACTCTGTTGCCCAGGCTGGAGTGCAGTGGTGCAATCTTGGCTTACTGCAACCTTTGCCTTTCGGATTCAAGCGATCTTCATGCCTCAGCCTCCTGAGTAGCTGGGATTACAGGCATGTGCTGCCACGCCTGGCTAATTTCTATATTTTTTGTAGAGACAGGTCTCGCCATGTTGGCCAGGCTCGTTGCAAACTCCTGGCTTCAAGTGATCTGCCCACCTCAGTCTCCCAAAGTGCTGGGATTACAGGTGTGAACCACAGCGCCTGGCCCCAGGATAGACTTTTTTATATATGATAGGCAATTGCTTATCCAAATGGAGAAAAAGTGAAATTAACCTTCTGTCTCACACTATGCACAAAAGTAATTTCCAAGTGAATTAAAGACCAAACTATAAAAGGCAAATCGGTAAGGTTTTTGGAAAATGAAGATATGTATCTGACAAAGGACAAGTATCCGCAGGACATAAAGCACTCTTGCAAATTAGCAGGGCAAAGACAAATAACCCAATAGGAAGTGCATAAGACTTCAAGAGACACTTCACAAAAGAGGAAAGCTGAAAGCTAATAAGCAGGTGGGAAGATGTTTGGCCTTATTGTCAACAGGGACATGCAAATTAAAGCCACAATGAGATAGGACTCTCCTAAAAGACTGGCAAAAATTAAAAGCCTTGGCAATAGAGTGTTGGCAAGGAAGTAGATAAAAGTCCCCGCTGGTGAAGTGTAATAGGTACAACCAGTTTGGAAGACAGTGTGGCGTTATCTAGTAACACTGAACACATGTACCTCTGATGACCCAGCAGGTCCACTCAAGAATGTGTGCCCAAGAAAAATCCTTCTTTCTGTGGATCAGGAGACATGTACACCATTGGTTTTAGAAGCATTGTTTTTAAAAAGGAAAAAACTGGACACAAGTCAATGTCATCAACAGTAAAAGGAACAAATAAATTTTGCTGTATTGGTACAATGCAATCCTACTATGCAGCAATAATGAAGGATCAGCCCCAGGCACATGCATCCATGTGGATGGATTTCACAACGCTGAGCAGAAGCAGCCAGTCCCTGGAGAGTAAGGGCAAATGATTCCATTCCATGAAGGTTTGCCAGTAAGAAAAGCCAAGCAAGTTGCTGTTGAAGAATACATACATGGGCCGGGCGCGGTGGCTCACGCCTGTAATCCCAGCACTTTGGGAGGCCGAGGCGGGCGGATCGCGAGGTCAGGAGATCGAGACCATCCCGGCTAAAACGGTGAAACCCCGTCTCTACTAAAAATACAAAAAATTAGCCGGGCGTAGTGGCGGGCGCCTGTAGTCCCAGCTACTTGGGAGGCTGAGGCAGGAGAATGGCGTGAACCCGGGAGGCGGAGCTTGCAGTGAGCCGAGATCCCGCCACTGCACTCCAGCCTGGGCGACAGAGCGAGACTCCGTCTCAAAAAAAAAAAAAAAAAAAAAAAAAAAAAAAAAGAATACATACATGGAGGAGGACGTGGTGGCTCGTAAAGGGGAACGTCCAGCTTTTACCACCTTCATTGTTGTATCATTGGGATTTTTTTACACCCACAATGTATTCATGCATTTCTTGTCTATTTTTGCAAACAGCATTTTGGAGAGTCTGTCAATTTATGTTTGGGTTTGCAGTTGGTTCACATTGGGGTTGGGTGAAAGCTTGTTGCTATAAGCCAGGCACGGTGGCTCACGCCTGTAATCTCAGCACTTCCAGAGCCTGAAGCGGGCGGATCACGAGGTCAGGAGATCAAGACCATCCTGGCCAACACAGTGAAACCCCGTCTCTACCAAAAAATACAAAACAAATTTAGCCGGGCATAGTGGCGGGCGCCTGTAGTCCCAGCTACTTCGGAGGCTGAGGCAGGAGAACCCGGGAGGTGGAGCTTGCAGTGAGCCGAGATGGGGCCAGTGCACTCCAGCCTCAGTGACAGAGAGAGACTCTGTCTCAAAAAAAAAAAAAAAAAGAAAGAAAGAAAGTATGTTGCTATAAGTTTACCAGGTGCTCTAATTAGCATCCTGTTAGTAACGGGTTTTGCACTAAAAGACCTTATTAGAGTTGGGGTGGACACCTTGGGTTAGGGTTTGGGGAAGATTGGGTTCAAAATGTGAGCCTCAATCAGGATTTGGAATAAATTTGGATCTGATGAAGCCAAGGCTGGGGTGGGGCTGGATTTGAAGTCGGATGTGGTTGGTGGCGGGGGGTGGGGGGAGGTGTCACTCCTGTAATCCCAGCCCTTTGGGACTTGCCAAGGTGAAAGGATCACTTGAGCTCAGGAGTTCAAGACCAGCCTGGACAACATAGCTAGACCCTGTCTCTACAAAAAAATGCAAAAATTAGTCAGGTGTGGTGGCATGCCTGTGGTGGCATGCCTGTGGTGGCCCTAGTTACTTAGGAGGCTGAGGCAGGACGATCGCCTGAGTCACGGAGGTTGAGCCTGCAGTGAGCCGAGATCACACCACTGCACTCCAGCCTGGGCCACAGAGCAAGACCCTGTCTCAAACAAAACACACAAATCTCAATTATGCATAAAATCAGGCTGAAGGTTTGAAATCAGGCAGGGTTAGAAGTGTGAGAGTGGTCCAGGCGTGGTGGCTCACGCCTGTAATCCCAGCACTTTGGGAGGCCAAGGCAGGCAGATCACCTGAGGTCAGGAGTTTAAGACCAGCCTGGCCAACATGGTGAAACCCAGTCTCTACTAAAAATACAAAAATTAGCCGGACACGGTGGCGGGTGCCTGTAGTCCCAGCTACTCAGGAGGCTGAGGCTGGAGAATCGCTTGAACCTGGGAGGCGGAAGTTGTAGTGAGCCGAGATCGCGCCATTGCACTCCAGCCTGGGCAACAGAGCTAAACGCTGCCAAAAAAAAAAGAAAAAAAAGAAAAAGAAAAATGTGTTAGCATTTTGGCAGAGGGGCTCTGTAGGCTTGGAGGCCCTGCCCAACATATCTCTGTGGATTCCTGTAACAACTCAAGGAAGGGACACTGGGGCCTGTGGAGGGGTCTCTGGCCCCTCCGGCGCCCCTTTGGTACCGCGCCCCGCCTGCGAGCTAGGAACTGTGGGGACCCGGCAGCGGGCGAGCGAGCCCAGGTCGCGGCAGCACTGCCTGCGCGGTCGTCTTGACGCCTGACCAGGGCCGGTTTTCAACTTGTTTACAAGCCTGCGTCACCGGGAACCTTTCACCGCCGCCTGGGACAAAAGGTTCCTCTTTGTAAGTCCCTTCTGGGCAGAAAGGGGATTCGCCGCCCGGCGCGCTGACGGTGCGGGGCGCCACGCCGTGGCGGATGCGGACAGCGCGCGGCCGGTTCGCCCGTCTGCCCCCTAGCGCCCTGCTCTTCCCGCCGAGCGCGTAGTCTGCCCATAGCCTCGGCCACCAGCCCCCTTTACATCGTCCACCCACCCACAGCGTCCTGCCGTCCACGCCTCGCCCACCCACGGGTTCCCCGCAGTCCGTGCCTCGTCCACCCACTCACTCATCTGCGCGTGGCTCAAACAGGCATGCCTTGTCCACTCCCTCCACAGGAATTTCCTCCTTTCATGGAAACAACTTGCCCTCCCGTCCACCGTCCACTCCATTCCCCATTCACTGTCCATTGACTCATTTGAGGAACTATCCTATGAACACCTTCCAGGTGCTACGCGTTGCGGTCAGCAGGTCACAGGACACAGCTCCTGTCCTCTGGGACCTCCAGGACAGCAGAGGAGACACCAGCAGAGGTCCTCGTGAAGTGATCATGGCTCTGGGGGCAAAAAGAGGACATATCAGCCGAGACTTGGGCGCAGGGGTGGCGAGGCTGGGGCTGAGACGGAAAGACTGGCTGCGGAAGAGATGGGAGGAGGACAGGGGCTAGGCCCTTGGCAGGGGCTCGGCAGAGGGGAAAGCCTGGAAACCAAGTGGGCTCCAGGCAGAGGGCACCGAGGGGGCCGCGGGAAGAGGCCAGACCCGAAAGTCCTCGTCAACAGCGCCACAGAGCTCGGGCATCACCCGGGGTCACGGTGCCCCCCAGCAATTTCTTCTACTTTTCACTGTTTTGTTATTATAGAAGTAATACATGTCTACAACTTCATTGTAAAGAAAAATGAGAGCGAGCAATAGGAAAAAAATAATCAGCCATAATCTCGCCTCGCAGACATAGTTTTCGGTGTATGTGCACATACGCGGTTTCCCCAGGCATCCGCTGGAGAGCGGCGCTCCTGGGCTAGATGACGAGGGAACCCAGAGCGAGCTGCCTACCTCAGGGCTTGCAGACACCTGGGTGGGGATGTCATGGAGTGGGTGCTATGGCCAAGCCAGAATCCATTCAGATCCCCCCATCCCTTTCCCTAACACAACGGATGCCGTCCAGGCACCAGCCCTATGGCACCGGGATGGGGCCTCCCACAGAGTCCCCAGCTTCTATCCCTGGCAGCGATTAGTTTAGGCATGCAGTTTTTTGGCTAAGATATGAGGAGAGGTGTTCTGAGGGGCTACTCATGAGAAGTTTCTTTGTAAGTCATTTCTGGTGAAGCTTTCTGTTTCTTGAAGCAAAATACAACCTAAATGATACCTGAAACTAGTGTAAAGACTACCTTCCCCGGGCTCCTGGGGCTAAATCACGCCCTCCCGGGGAGCACCCCTGATGCTCACATCTCCTACCCTTCCTCCTGTATCTGGATCCCACCCTAGCCTCCTCAGCACCATGGTCCCTCCAGCTTGCCTTCTGCCTCTACACACACTCTCTCTCTGTCTCTCTCTCTCTCTGTATGTCTCTTTCATTTCCTCTACGCCCACAACCTGGTCTAGTCTCAACCCCTCTTCCTGGCTGGCTGACCACAGTCCCCTAACCACCTGGGACCTGCACCCCACCCCCACCTGTGGAGACCACGCCCAGGAGCACACCTGGGAACCAGGCCAGTGCCATGCAGTTTTCTCACCTGCCATGCTGCATGCCCCAGCATCCTGCCTTCTGAACTGTGGCACTGGGGGTCTGGCTTTAATGACCTAGCCTCCACCAGAGCTGCAGGGAAGACCAGGGTCATTTCTCCAGGCCCACTGTGGGTCTGCACACCCATAAGGGAGCAAGATAGAGCCACTGCCAGGACCCTCAAAAGTGCTGTCCAGGGCACTTTCTCCTCTTCCTCGTCACCCATCCATCTCAGTCCCCCAGGAGATCCTGAAACTGCTCACACCAAGGTCAACCGATTTGTTGGCAAATCCAATGAACACTCTTCAGTCCCTCTCACTTGGCCACTCAAGAGCACTTGGCAATGTGGACCCCTTTCTTCTTCTCCTTTTGAAAATATTTATTGAGATATAATTTACATATCTAAACTTCACCCACTTAAAGTGCATTTTACTATATTCAGAGTAAATCTAATGTTCACCATAGTCTAATTTTAGAACACTTTCATCACCCTAAAGAGCAAAATCCCATCTCCATTAGCCACCACTGCCCATTTGCCTGTTTCCCCAATTCCATCTAGGCGCCTTCATAGGATATGTGGTCTCTTGTGACCACATATGAGCCCAGTCTTACTCTGGGCTCCAAGACCTTCTTTTTTATTCCACTAGCACTGTTTCTCTGACACTGTGGTCAAATGTGATATGCCTGGGATGTGGATGCCAAAAGTCATCCCTGTTTTTTCCTAGACTCCAATCAAATTATCCATCCATCTGAGCTGGCAGGAAAGCAATCTGATTAATGTGATTGCTCACAAAATATAAAAAGCATGCCAGGCTAGAGCACCTGGCAGGCACTGGTTGGGGACACGTTCCCAGAGAGGGAGGGGGGATGGGGCTTCAGACACTCTTTAAGGACTTTGCAGCTTTCCCCTGAAACATGGTCCTGCAGGCCACAACCCATGCAGGGGCTCCTAGGTCAGTGTAAGTAGTGCAAAGAGCTCATATCACTGCCCTCCCTGTGGAAAGCCCTTGACTCACCGTGAAGCACGGTAGACATGGCTGTCATTCTCCATAACCTACCACCTCTCAGCAAAAGGAAAACCCCCATGTGAGAGATCTGGGCATCTAAGGCATTTTACCTTGAAGGTGACTCTCCAATCCAGCCTGGCCTGCTGTGCTGTAGAACAACGGTGAGACCAGGTGCTGCAGGAAAGAAATACAAGCTGCTCTCTCAGGCTTTGTCGTTCTGGTAGACCTCTGAATACCCTGTCTGGGTACAGGACTACTCCTGACCCCCCTGGTTTCTGAGTCCCTCCTCCCACGGCAGAAGCCAAAGATCTTGTGTGGAAGGCGGGAGGTGCAGGCAGGCGATCCAGGTGCTGCCTACCGGTCAGGAGTGCATAGCAGACTTCGGATCACAGCATGTTCTCTGCCAGAACGCGCCTGCGATGGCTTTGGGCTCCGCTCCAGGCTACAGCATCTCCCAGCTTGATTCCCTATCGTCCTACAGAGTCTGGGGGCACCCCCATGTCCTTTTCTCCCCCAAGTGGCTATAGTTGCTTTCTGTTGTTTATTCCCGAGAGCCCAGACTGATATACCTTCTTTGAGGAGGAAAATACGAAATCTGAAATACGAATTTCTCCTTTAAGAAGATTGTTAGCTTTTCCCAAAATGTTTGATTATGAACATTTTCAAGCTTCAAACATACAGAAATGTTGGAAGGATTTTGAAGCAGACATCCACATGCCCACTGCCTGGGCTGGACAGCTCACAGGCCACTACGATTCACCACACAGCCAGCCAGCCACCATTGCTCCACCAATCATGCATCTGATTTTAAAAATTAGCTTTTAATCAGCAAATGGTATTTCTAGTTAGACCTGTTAGGCTAAGACTAAAAGTTCCAAATCAGGTCACGTTTTCTAGGTGGTTTTCTTTCTAACCTTGTAAGCTACCAAGAGCAAAAACAAAGGCCAGAACACACAAACTGACAGATAACTTGCCTTTATTATGAAGTACACCTTTGGACTTGTGGGGTTTTTTTCCCAAAGCTTGTGCATCATTGTCTGGGATAACTGCATAAAATGGAAGGACGATTCCTGGTGAGAGGCAGTGTGTTCTAGGTAAGAGCAAAGCTGGAATCCGCTGTCTCACTGTGTCCCTGCTCTGTCCACACCGGCAACTCATGCAAAGGCAGGGTGATCATGCAGGTGAAATGGGTGGATTGGTGTCAAGTGCGTGGAACAGTACCTGGCACATAGAAAACACTCTGTAAGGTTCATGGGGAGATTCACGACTGTTCATAAACTGATCTGTTGATGACAATGAATGGGCAGGAGCCTGGGTACCTTTGTTCTCTTTGGGTCACTTATGTTCTAGCTTCCTAAAAGTCTCATTAGAGCACCTTGTATTTAGATAAACCATTACAAAAACACTTACTTTTCTACTTGAGTCACCAGTTTATGAAGTGCTTCTTGTGGTTTGCTAAAACCTAAATCGGAGGGACAGGTTTTTGTTCTGCTTTGATGGTTTGTAGGGAGATAAGGCTGCAGAGGTAGGCTGGGGCCGGGTCATTGAGGACTTTGAATGTCAGTGTAAGGAGCCTCTCTCCTAAGGGTAAAGGGACAACTTGTCTTTCAGCACATTTGACAATAGCAGCTGTAACGAACACACACGTGCACACATGCACACACACACACTACATGTGCACACATGTGCACATGCACACATGCACAAATCACATATGTGGCTTAACACAATACAACATTCTTCCTCCCTTGTGCAAAGCCCACTGTGGATATTGCAAGTTGGGACACTATTCTACCAGCGAAGATTCAGGGATCCCTGCTCCTTCCATCTTGGGAGCTCCTCCTCACTCCCACCCCCAGCTCCAATGGAGTTCCTGTTGTGGATGTGGTCTTCCCACCCACTACACCGGCCTTAGGCAGAGCCTGGCACAGCTGGGATCCTCACTGGGACTACATTGCTGGGCTGCAGACTGCTCCAGAGTCCCCCCAGAAGCCCCTAAATGTCCCTGAAAAGATGAGTCACTGACTGTGCTTTCAGCTCCAAGCAGCCTTTATCAATCTCTCAATCCCCATAGATACTGGGAAAATCTAGGAACATGTTCAGAACTCAAAGAGGGGTCTTCTGCTGCTGCTTTTTGTGGGGAGACAGGATCCCTGAGCTGGGGGACCAGACATCCTGGTGCCCCTGGCTTCAAGCAGCTGGTGGATCTGCGCGCTCAAAACTTGCCCTGGTCTGTATGGCCTCATCCTCTCGCTTGTCCCACTATGATGGATCTCGCTCGCTCCGTAGAGCAGTGGCTTTGCAACCCTAGCCAGCACTGGGGTCGCGCGTGGACTTGTCAGGACACACATTGCTGGGCTCCACCCCGAGTTTCTGATTCTGGGGCGAGGATTGAAAACTTGCTTTTCTAACGAGTTCCCAGCATTTTCGATGCTGCTAGTCCTGAGACCATACTTTGAAAACCGCCCCTCTAGAAAGTGCGATCCCTCCCCAGGAAAGAAGCAGGGCTATTTTTGCTCCAAAAGTATCCATCCTGCACGCCCTCTTCAGTGCTTGGCACGTGGCGAATAAACCAATCAGGATGAAAGGAGCCAACCCAAGTGCGGAGTGTTGAACCTCAGAGGAAGAAACCCGCGTTCACCAGGCCCAGGCCTGGGCCAGGCGCTGTCCTGGCGGCGTCAGGGAGGACATCGTGCCCAGAGCTCGGACCCAGCAGCCCGGCCCCGCGCCCTCCCTGTCCCGCGGCCCGCAGGCCCAGCCCTCAAGCGCCCAGCCTCCGCGGCCTTTGTGGCGTCACAGCCAGCCTGAAGAATGGTTGCCTTGGAGACGTAAACCCAAGAGCCCTGCTCCTGGAGCTGAGAACTGCAGCGCGGAGGCTTCGGAGCGAGCCGGGGCAGTCGGGGTCGGTGGGTGCGCTCGCGGTCCGGGGAGAGGGGGCGCGCGGGGTCCGTGAGGGCGCGTGGGGGCGGCGGCAGGGGTGCGAAACCAGGGCCCGAGGGGCGCGCGTGGCCGGGAGCGGACTTGCAAGGCGCCTTCCAAGGCTGCCCGCTCGCATGCCACTTGCTTGAAACACACCCATCTACCATCCACCCCATCTGTCCTACCATCCCTGTGCACCTCGCTGTGTGGCTCGGGGCCTTGCAGAGCGCGGGTGTTAGGAGGCGACCCTGCGAACCCCAGGCTCACCCAATAGGGGGCTGCAGCAGGAATGCGGCAGGAATGGCACAAGCTTAGAGTGGGGGCCCTTTCCAGAGGCAGCCCCTCCTGACTGTGACTTTGGACACCTCGCTGAATCTCTGCTTCCTCCCCTGCAAAAATGAAAATTCATTCAATGGATGAAGTTAAGAAGTGCCAAGGGTATGTCAGGAGCTTGGATGAGCAGAAAAGACCCCCCTGTTCTCATGGAGCTCACATTTTAGGGGGAAATAGACAACGAATGGATTTTTAAAGTGATAATCAGATAGTGGGAATTGCAGAGAAGAAAATAAAGGCCACATGGGGGTGGGGAGGAAGAAACCACTTTGGATGGGATGGTGAGAGGTCTCTCTAAAGAGGTGACATTTGAGCTCGGAATTGAAGAGAAGGAAGCCCAGCACCCCCAGCTGGGTATGGGAGAATATTTTTTGGCCGAGGAGGCCGAAAATGCAAAGGCTTGAGGCCAAGATTGATGTGTTCTAAGCACAGAAAAAGTAGGCAGCTAGAGCCAAGTCCAGGAGGTGAGAGTGGACCCTCGGGTGGGAGAGGCAGGGAGCCGGCAGGTGTCCCCACAAGGTGAGCCCTCAGCAAATGTCGGTGGCTGTCAGCCACCCAGGGGGAAGGAAGCTCTGGGCTTGGGGACCACCAGGCTCAAGCACTGTGTCACTCCTCAGGTGAGGATCTCCTTTAGAAGAGGAGAAGCCTTGCATCAACCTCTTGGGCCTCAGCCAAGATGTCTGAGATACCGTCCACTATAGTCTCCAAGAACATGACCAATGACAGTAAGTACCGGGCCAGGGTGGGCACTCTCAGAGGTCAGGGGCAGCTTCGGAGCCTGTCCAGCTCCCTCACAGGTTAAGGTAGCTCTAAACCAAACACTAGGCAGGAGTCATAGATCTGCCTACTTCCCTTGAAACAAGGCATATGGATTGCCTGCAGCTGCTGTAACAAAGCACCACCACAAACTGGGGGGCTGGAGTCACAGACATTTGTTTTCTCAAGCTCTGGGGGCTGGATGTCTGAGATCAAGTTGTCCAAAAGGCTAGGTCCCTCCAAGGGCTCTGAGCGAGAACCCATTCCGGGCCTCTCTCCTGGTTTCCAGAGCTTTGCAGGCAATCCTTGGTGCTCTTTGGCTTGTAGAAGCATCACTCCCATCTCAGCCTTCCTGCCCATGTGGAATTCTGCCTGTGTGTGTCTGTGTCCAAATTTCCCCATTTTACAGGGACCCCATCACATTGGATTGGAGGCCTACCCCGCTCCAGAATGGCCTCAGCTTAGTGAATTACAGCTGCAAAGACCTTATTTCCAAACAAGATCACATTCTGAGACAGTAGGGGTTGGGACTTCAACATACGAATTGGGATGACACAGTTCAACCCACAACAGACCATGAGGAAGGTGTCACCGTGAAGGTGAGCTTCTCTCAGCACCCCTCTGACCACAAATGCCAGGCTGGGCTCCAAGGAGGTGGTCAGCTGGCGCTAGGCCCTGGATGAAACATGCCTGCCCTAGTGGAATTGCATGCATTTGCCAAGATCTCACACAGGGCGACGCTGAGGGAGGCTGCCCAGGCCTACCTGGGGCCCTTCAGCTTTTTTATTGGAATTTAATTTGGTTTTGACCAGGCATAGTATTCCATGGTTCAAAATTCAAAAGTGTGTTAAAAGCCCCTCATTGTGAAAAGCCTCTCCCACCCTGTCAAAGGCATACAGTGCCCCTTCCTTAGAGATGGCCACTGTCCCCTGTCTCTTCTAGGCTACCAGCTCAGTGCACATACAGGCAAATGTGTGTAGATGAGGTTTGTTCTTTTCTTACACGGAGATCACACAATGAAAACCCTGTCTGCACCTTGATTTTTTTAATTAACCCATACATTGTAGAGACTGTTCCTTATCAATACATCAAGAATTCCCTTATACTTTTTGTGCTTTTGAGTAGAATAGTAATCTTTCAGTATGGCTGTATCATAATTTATTAACCAATTCTCTGTTCATATGGGTGATTAGCTTGTTTCAGAAAGTGTGCTGCTATAAACAGTGACCCCCACCATTACACTTAGGTGTGCACACGCTCTCTCGTTCTTTTTTTGCTCCAGAGTAAATTTTAAAATGAAGAAGGGCTGGAATAAGGTTTAAAAACAAAGATGGCTTTGAAATGTTTATAGATAACAAATTAACTCTCAATGTGCCCATAAAACAATGCAGATAATTATGCTACCACAAGACAGTTGAAGGACATGTAAACTATATTGATTTGTTTATTGGTATGAGGGGGAGTGCCTAGTTGGGGTACCCTATGACCCTGTGGCATTGGTAATTCCTCGAGATTGATTGAGGGCCTGTGCATTTGTGAGAAAACCAGGCCAGACAGGCAGAGCCAGGATTGGCACCCAGGGCCAGGGGTCTCAGAGTCAGGTGGGTCAGGGAGGTTGGCATGGGCAAGGTGGGCAGGGGACCTGGCCAGGGGCTTCAGTCAAGAGGACTGCTGAGCTCTGTGTCCTGGGGTCAGCTGCAGGAGCTGGGACAAAGGTAGGGGCCAAAATGACACTGAGCCACCTGGAGTGAGAGGTTTGGGGATGCTGAGCCAAGTACAGATAGGACCCCCCCTCAACCAGAGGGCCCAGGGCAGGGGCCTGGAGGCCAAGTAGGGAAAGGGCATTCTAGGCGGCTGGCCAGGCCCAAAGGCCCTGAGGTGGGAGTGGGCGTGGTGTGTTCAAGGGAGAGACAGGAGGCCAGCATGGGCCAACTGGGTAGGGCCTGTGGCCCGGGAGGACTATTGGCCTCTGCCCAGATGACGGGAAGGATTTAAGAGGGAGACTGCTCAGTGTCTAGCTTTATGACTTTTGTGATGAGAACGCTGTTCCCTAAGCCTTGGCAGAGGGGCTGGTTTGGCCACAGCCTCCTTTGAGGCATCAGGGCGGGCAGGGGTGGGGGCTGCAGGAATGCCCGGAGCTCTGGCCCTGCACCCTCAGCACCCAGCCCAGTGCGGGGCCAGTTCCAGGAGAGGCACTGGGGTCGCGCGTGGACTTGTCAGGAGAGGGCCTGCGGCTGGTCCCTCTGGGCCAGAACCCTGCCTGAGCCTCACTGTGGGTGTGGAGAGTTTGTTCCTTGAGCGGCCAAATATATTTCCCAAGACACCAGGCTCCAGGTACAAGACTCCAGAAGGAGCAGGTTGGGAGAGGCTTGCCCCTGCTGAAGGAGCCGTGTGCATGCGCGTCAGGCCAGGATGCCCTGCAGGCTCTCACTGCTGCTTCTCAAGTGCACGTCCCCCACAATGGGAGCATTCAGGAAGGGCATGGGGTCTAGAGAGGTTGTTAAACCACAGATGGCCAGGCCTTCCCCCTGCCAGTTCTGGCTATGAGGGATGCGAAGGGCTGGAGGCAGGAGTTTAATTTGGCAGTGTGGAGAAACATGATCTTCAGTAATCTAACCTTCATCTTGGGACATCCGAAGCCTGGCCTGGTGGCCTCGTGGGCAGAGTGGGCCATCCACACATGCAGCCCACATCAGGCCACTCAGGGACCCACAGTCACTTCACTAATGTTCATGGAGCACCTACCGTGTGTCAGGCACTGTGCTGGGCTGGGGCACAGAGGGCCATGAGACGGAGGCGCCTGCTCTCTGAGCATTTAGTAGAGTGCAGCAAACAGCTCTCAACTTCACCGGCTCCATCCATTCCTGCAGCCCTGGCCAGGCCAGGCCTGGTTCACTCCCACTCAGTGTCTTGGCACTGCTGTGTCCTCCACAGGGAATGCTCTTCTCCCCAGTTTCCCTGGGACTCCCTCCCTCACACCCCACAGGAGCTCATTTAGATGTCAGCTCCACAGGGAGGCCTCCCCTAAACAAGGTAAAACGCGGTGCCCCACCTGCCCTACATCCCTCATTGCTGTTCCCTGTTTCATTTTCTCAGTGGCACGTTCTACCCTCTGGCCTTTTGACCCTTCTTCACCTGTGTTGCTTACTGTCTCACTCCCATCCAGCAGTGACATTTGTTCCCCCAGAGCCTGGAACATCACAGGCCTCAGTCAAAACCTGTTAGCCTGCAAGCTCTCCCTCTAAGATCAAGAGCAAAACAGTGATGCCCACCTTCACCACTGCTGTTCAATATTGCACTAGAAGTTCTAGCCAGAGTCATTAGGCAAGAAAAAGAAAAAAAGAAGTAAAAGACCCAGACTGAAAAGGAGGAAGTAAAACTATTCACAGATGACACAACCCTATATATAGAAAATCTCAAAGAATCCACAAGGAAGTTACTAGAGCAAATGAATGAACTCAGCAAAGTTGTGGGTTACAAGACCAACACAGAAAAACCAGTTTGTCTCTGTTCACCAGCAATGAATAGCCCATAAATGAAGCCACTCATTGACAACAGGGGTGACATCATGGCAAAGTAGGAAGCTCTGGGAATCCCTCCCCTGAAACAATTGTGCTGGCGTGAATTATCAGAAGCAACTCTTCTGAAACTCTGGAGTTTAGTGAAATGCTTGCAGCTTGCAGGGAAGATCTTGATGAGGAGGCTGGGACATTTTAGTGAATTTTTAGCATTTCCTGGAGCAGCTGTACCAGCCTCCAGCCTGCAGCAGGCAGCAAGGAGAAGGTGGCCTGTGTTCCCGGTACAGCTTGCTGGTGCCAGGGTGGGAAATAAGGATCTTGTCCTCCAAAAATTGGGCTGTGTGTTTGATTGCTGATCATGGCCTGCTTCTGAGGGGCCGGCTCAGCGGCTGGCCATTGTTCCAACTCCAGGGTCTAAAGCAACCTCCCGGCTCTGTTGGTCAAGGGCTGTCCTTCCCCAACCCCTCCACTCTTGTGAGAGCTAGACTTTTATCTGACATTAGCTCACATTTAGAAATCTTTGACAAATGATTGATATCAAGAATATAGAAAGAAATCCTAACACTCAACAAGAACAACAAAAAGCAAACAACCCAATTCAAAACTGGGCAAAGGACTTGAATAGATAATTCTCAAAAGACGATATGCAAATGATCTACAAGCAGGAGAAAAGATACTCAACATCATCAGTCATTAAGGGAATGCAAATCAAAACCAAAATGAGATACCACCTCACACCCATTAGGATGGCTACTATCAAAAAATACAAACAAAAATAACAGGTGTTGGCGAGGATGTGGGGAAAATGAAACCCTTTTACATTGTTGGTGAAAGTGTAAAATGGTTCAACCACTGAGAAAAATAGGCAGTTCCAGCCTGGCACGGTGACTCTCGCCTAAAATCCCAGCATTTCGGGAGGCCAAGGCGGGCGGATCACGAGGTCAGGAGATTGAGACCATCCTGGCTAACATGGTGAAACCCTGTCTCTACTAAAAATACAAAAAATAACCGGGCATGGTGGCGGGCACCTGTAGTCCCAACTACTCCGGAGGCTGAGGCAGGAGAATGGCGTGAACCCGGGAGGCGGAGCTTGCAGTGAGCCAAGATTGCGCCACTGCACTCCAGCCTGGGCGACAGAGCGAGACTCCGTCTCAAAAAAAAAAGAAAAGAAAAGAAAAATAGGCAGTTCCTCAAAAAGTTAAACAGTATTAACATATGATCCAGCAATTCTACTTCTAGATATGTACCTAAAAGAACGGAAAGCAGGAACTCAGATATTAGCACACGCATGTTCACAGCAGTGTTATTCACAATAGCCAAGCGGTGGAAGCCGCCTGAGTATCCATCAATGGAGGAACAGATACAGAACATGTGGTGCATCCATGCAGTGGAGTGCTATTCAGCCTCAAAAAGGAAGGGAATTCTGATACATGCTACAGTACAAATGAGCTGGGAAACCTTATGCTGGTGAAATTAGCCAAACACAAAAAGACAAATATTGTATGATTCCGCTCATATAAGTGAGTGGAGCAGTCAGAGTCATAGAGACAGAAGGGGGAATGGAGGCCACCGGGGCTGGGGAGGGGAGGATGGGGAGTTGTTTAATGCACGCAGAGTTTCAGTTTGGGATGATGAAAAGTTTTTGAAATAGATATTGGTGGTGGTTGTACAACATTGTGAATGTAATTAATGCTATTGAGTTGTACACTTAAAAATAATTAAAATAGCAAGTTTTATGTTATATTTATATTTTACCATACTAAAAAAGTTTCAATGGCATAAAATGGCAAATCGTATTTTATATATATATATATATATATATATATATATATATATATATATATAGTATTATGTTACTGCAATCAAAAAATGTGTTCTTAAAATGTGTTAAATAAGTGAAGTAAACAACTAAATAGACAGGATGGTTCCCAGCAGTGCTGAAATAGGAGGCTGATTCAGTGATTGTGGTGGGAAGCATTTAGACAGGGGGATCAGGAAGGCTTCCTGGAGAAGGTGACATTTGAGTAGAGATGGTGAATAATGGGGATGGGCAGCCCAGAGAGAGTGTCTCGGGAGAGGGAGCAGCAGGTGGGAGGGGGAGGAGATGGAGGGAGGTGTGGGTGTGCCCAGCTGCAGGGGAGGACACTGACCTGTGAGTGGGAAGGAGACGTGGCCCAATTCCGTGGGGAACATCCCTGCCAAACCCTGGTCCTTCTGTGGCTCCCAAGGGCCTCATCCCTGTGCTCCCCAGGCTCACACCCTGCCAGCCATGCTGGCCCCAGTGGCTCCTCTTCAGCTCTGCCTGCAGGTTTTGCCTCCATGACCCCACGCTGTCACCACACTCCCCTTGGGGCTCTGCTCCCATGGTGCCTCCTCCGTGGGCTCCCTGATTGCCCCAGCTACTGGAATATCTCTCACTTCTCTTTATTTTATGTGCTTGTTGCCGGTCCAGAATGTGGACTCCAGGAAGGTAGGCATGGCACCTCCTTCAGGGCGGCATCCCCAGCCACACCTGACCCTGAGAAAGCGCCCACAGCTGTGGCCAGGCAGATGCCACTCTGAGGAGGCCTGGCCACTGTCTGGCACCATCACTAACCCAGTCCTGGGGGTGGTGAGGGATGGGACAAACATGGCTCCTGCTGGTTTAAAACACAGGTTTTATTATTGCTGTGTGGTGAGGCCAACAGAGCAGGAGATGACTGTCACTGGAGAGATGGCTGCTTACTCACAGATCCCTAGGACAGAAGGGGGTGCACCACGCAGGGCTGTGCGGGGGAAGCTGCAGGGTCAGCCAGAAAGCCCGAGGGAAAGGGGGACGTGGGCAGGAGCCTCCACTGTGGAATCACAGGAAGGAACGGTGAGGTGAGTGAGCAGGTGTAGGACTGATTTGTTAGAATAGTTTCGGGGTTCTGGGGCACAGGGCTGCCCCTGGTTGTCTGGTCCTGGCTCTGGGGGGATAGGGCAGGGATCAGTGGTCCTGAGAGTGACAGACTGACAGAGGCTGTGGCTGGGGTGTGGGCTCTGGATTGGGTGGTTTGCATTTGAAAGGTGTGCTCTGGGCAAGTCATTTTCTATCTCCAGGGATTAGCTAATCCGAGGGGGAGGGGAGGGAAGGGAAGGTCCTCTAGGCTCAGGAAGGCCCCAGAGGTCAAAGCATCTAAATGAGAAGACTTGGTTAATATGCCTGCCTTCCAGGAGTTTACTGCCTGGGGGTCGGTGGTGGGGGGTGCAGTCCAGACTTGCTGTGGGGAGTCCAGGTGGGGGCAATCACAGAGAACCAGCAAATAGGATGATGGTGAGGGTGCAGGTGGCAGGGGCGGATGGGTCCAGTGCTCCTCAGGAGACAGAGTCTGTGGGATCTGGTGACTAGGTGTGGAATGAGGGAGAAGAGGGTGTCGGGGATGCCTTGTCTCCTCAGTGACACCTGTGCATCACAGTGCTGTTTGCTGAGATGGCCAAGGCCAGGGGTGGAGCAGGTTTCGCAGGAGGGGGAAGGCCAGGAGCTCAGTTGGCGATGTGTAGGTGTCAGTGTCCTGTGGGAAACTCCCAGCCGAGACTCTGAAGAGGCTGCTGTGGATGGAGGCCCAGAGGTCAGGAGAGTAGGCGGAAACGTGAGGGCATCAGCAAATCCGCTGGGGCTGGAACTGAAGCCATGGGCACTGGTGAGGCGTCTAGGAGGAAAGGAGAGAGAATGGCCCGGGACACAGCCCAAAAGACTCCGATGGATAGAGGATGTTTGGAACTCATGTCACATGAGTGGAGTGCCCAGTCGAGTGTATTTTATCTTTTTTTTTTTTTTTTTTTGAGACAGGGTCTCACTCTATCACACAGGCTGGAATGCAGTGGTGCAATCTCGGCTCACTGCAATCTCCACCTCCCAGGTTCAAATTATCTTCCTGCCTCAGCCTCCAGAGTAGCTGGGATTACAGGTGCACCATCATGCCTGGCTAATTATTGTATTTTTAGTACAGACAGGGTTTCACCATATTGGCCAGGCTGTAGTTGGACTCCTGGCCTCAAGTGATCCACCTTCCTCGGCCTCCCAAAGTGCTGGGATTACAGGCGTAAACCACCGCACCTGGCCTATTGTATCCTTTTTTATGAGAATGTTTCACACCCAGTTCATTCTTTTCCTATCTCTCCTGAATTATTATAAAAGTAGACTTACACTTTAATAAAGACTTTTTAAGTTAAAAAATTAAATCATGTTAAAATACTAGAAGAAAACACCATTTTTTTTTCTAAAAAATATTTAAACTTCAGCGGCAGAATGCCTTTCTAAACAAGACACTAAACCCCAAAGCATTTCATTAAGCAAAAGTTAAATTTTCATACAAGGAAAATGAATGATAAAGTCAAATTGCCTGAAGGAGAATTATTTTCAGCAGCTCTGACAAATAAGCCAGTGTCCATCAATATAATAGATGAAGGTTCTCAAGAATCGTCTAGAAACTAGAACATTTCAGTAGAGAAATGGGCAAAGGATACTAATAGAATGAGGCAAGAAGATGGATAATTAACATCCAAAAAGACACACAGTTTCTTCCTAATTAAGAAATGCAGATGAAAACTGAGATGCCCTTTGTGACCTGTTAGAGTGACCGTTTCTGGTGTAGGGAAAGCAGTCCCACTAAAGTTGGTGATGGAAGAGTATCAAGCTAAAATAACCAAAAGAGTCAGAATCAGGTTTAGAGTTTCTCCAAGCACGAAGTTGAGGAGAAGTACAGGCCACCCAGTAATCAGAGATCCAGAGAATGAAAGTCCATGTTCCAAAGTGTAGAAGTTTGAGATTGTTTATCTAGACAAAGCTTTGGGAAGTTTAGCAGAATTTCAGCATCCTTCTATGGAAGGCTGCCTGCACATTACAAGGATCTGACTCGCTAAGGGGTCCTTTTCTCTCTGGACAAGTATATTTATCATTCCACACTGAAGATGCAACTGTCATGGGGTCCTGGGTGCCATCTGCTCTGAATTAGGTATGGGACAATAAAGAGGCAGTTAATCGGTAACAAAGTCTAGTGATTGGAAGTGGGAGTTCTGGTGTCCAGTCTCTCCCGGTCATTCACAGAGCAGGGAAAATGAGGTTTTTTTTCTGAGATGGAGTCTCGCTCTGTCGCCCAGGCTGGAGTGCAGTGACACAATCTTGGCTCACTGCAACCTCCACCTCCTGGGTTCAAGCGATTCTCCTGCCTCAGCCTCCCAATGAGCTGGGACTACAGGTGCACACCACCACGCCTGGTTAATATTTGTATTTTTAGTAGAGACGTGGTTTCACCATGTTGGCCAGGATGGTCTCGATCTCCTGACCTCGTGATCCACCCACCTCAGCTTCCCTGCTGGGATTACAGGCGTGAGCCACCACGCCCGGTCACAGATGAACTTTCTTTCAAGTCTTAAAATTTTGATGAAATACACATAAAATTGACCATCTTAACTATATTTAAATGTATGGTTCGGTGGCATTGACCACATTCACACTGCTGTGCGACCACCACCATCCATCTCAGAACTCTTCTCATCCCCAAACTGAACCTCCTCCCCATTCCCCCTCCCCTAGCCCTGGCGACCACTGTTCTACTTAGTCTCTGAATGCTCTAGGGACCTCCTGTGAGTGGCAGCATACAGTATTTGTCCTTTGGGGCTGGCTTGTTTCACTAAGTGTAATGTCCTTAAGGTTCATTTCTGTTTTTGTGTGTAAGCAGGTGAGCTTTTTAGTGAAAAACCAAGGGCATATAAGTGTATGTGTGCATAAAATACTTCTAGTCAGAGCTGCAAAAATCTTGGCCTGGCATGGTGGCTCACACCTATAATCCCAGCCCTTTGGGAGGCCAAGGTGGGTGGATCACCTGAGGTCAGGAGTTCAAGACCAGCCCGGCCAACATAGTGAAACCCCATCTCTACAAAAAATACAAAAATAAGCTGGGGGTGGTGGTGCACACCTGTAGTCCCAGCTACTTGGGAGGCTGAGGCAGGAGAATCGCTTGAACCTGGGAGGTAGAGGTTGCAGTGAGCCGAGATTGTGCTACTGTGCTCCAGTCTGGACAACAGAGCAAGATGCCATCTCAAAATAAATAAATAAATAAATAAAATGTATATAGGTAGCAAGAGCTTCAGGTGAGGCTATTTCATCATATCAATACATCAAACCTGTGTTGTTTGAAATATGTGCTATGTATGTGCATTGCTCTTTCATTCTTTCTTGTTTTAGAGACAGGGTCTCACCCTGTCACCCATGCTGGAGTGCAGTGGCGCAATTATGGTTCACAGCAGCCTCGACCTCCTGGGCTCAAAGGATCCTCCCCCCTCAGCCTCCCTAGTAACTGGGACCACATCCAGATCCATTGCTTTTTCATTTCTAATAGGGTTTTGGTTTGTGTCGTTTGGGTTTTGGTCTATTTAAATAGCAGTGGTATCTTCTGATTTATATGATATGGTTAATTAAATTCTATCTGGAAATGTAACCACATGCCTACTAAGATAGTTAGAGGACAATCATGGTTCAGCAACCGAGCCCCTGAGTTCTCCCCAGCCTCACCTCTCCCGACCGCCTCTGCCTCCCCGACTATACATTATGGATTCTGTGTGGCCCCGAAGGCCTCTGAGTTTCAGCCCAGGCCTGGCCTTCCCGCCTGTCCCACAAGACTCCCGCCATCTTCCTCACTCTTCCCTCACCCCATGACCATTTGCTCAGGGCCCAGGCCTTGGTATCATAGCCCCACCTCATGAGAAACCCTGTCTTCCCGCTCAGTGTTTCACTCCGGGACCACACAGTCCCTCCCCCATCCCGCCCCAGGAGGACTGGCACCCTGAGCAGCCCACCGGAGACCACGTTCTGGCAGCCCCTGCCCCTCAGGCACCGACCAGGATCTCCGAGCTGCAAAGTATTCCTGGGTGGGAGTGGAGGAAGTGTCCGGCCACATGTCTCTTTCCCTGTGGGTATCAGCACAGCAAGGCATTGGAGACCCAGCAGTAACACCTGAGTAGTCACCTGAAGAAACAGGGTGCTGGGGAGCCCACCCCGGGCGGGAAGGAGACTTGCTGGCCTTGGGGAGAAAATGGCTCTAGCTTCCAGGCAGCACAACCCCAGTTTTCCAGCTTGGTCAGAAGGGCCACTCCTCACGGTGGGATAGGGGTGGCAGCTCCCTGAGGAGGTGGGGTCTTAGGGGCCTCCATCCAAGTCCAGCAGGAAGCCCCTGGGAGGCAAGGCACTGGCCACGCCGGGGTCAGAGGCTTGGGGTCCTTGTCCTCCCTGGGTCCCGGTATGTCCATCTATAAAACAGCCTTGCACTGCTACTCTTAAGGAACACACTGAAGGATGGGAAAGGGGAGGCACAAAACATCCGTGCACCAGGCACAGGTGCCAGGGACTTCTCAGGCTATTTTCTTGCACAATTCTCACAACTTCCCAGCAAAGTCAGTGTGATCTCTGGGATGTAGAGCCCTCAGTCTCACAGGGGAGGGAGCTGAGGTTGAGCCTTTGTGTGTCTGAGACATTCCCCGCCTCAGGCTGTGTTCACAGTTCTCATGGGCCAGGGGAGTCACTGCTGCGGCCCTCACTTTTGTGTCTCCTCAGAGAACAGCCTGGAATCCATGAACATCAGCTCTTCTTCAAGCACTGAAGAGAACCCAAAGAAACAGGCAAGAAAAAACGAAGGTAACCTTCAAGCTGGGAGGCTAAAGTCCAAGTTGGCAGGAGGCAACTCCTCTCCCTCTGCCCCCAGATCCCCTCAGACCAGGTCTCTAGAGCTAAGGGCAGAAGGAAATGTTTCTCTTTCCATTAGGAATTGGGTTGACTTGAAATAACAGGCATGTAAACAAAGTAGGATTTATTGCTCCCTCTGTTAATGAGAAATGTGGGACGAAATGCAGACTTTCTTGAGGCTCCACTAACAGCAGTTCCATAAAATCACTCAGGTGACCAGGTCCCCAAGTCTCTCTGCTCCACCAGAAAGGAATTAGGGCTTTCAACCACAATTAGGGCTTTCATGCTCACAAAATGGCTGCTGCAGCTCCAGCCTCAGCACATCTGATTCCAGGCAGGGAAAAGTAACAAAGGGAAGGGCAAAACTACCCTTCAGCCAACTTAGCCTTCTAGGGGAAGGGATTTTTCCCAAAAGTTCCAAGCAGCAATGTCTTCCCACATTCCAGCAGCTAAATTTGCCATATGGCCATCAGGATCTATAAGGAGGGCACACTGCTGCCACCGTTAGGAGGAAGGAGGGCAGGTAGCTAGCTAGCTGCATGTGCCTCACCCTGGTAGCCCTGAACAGGGCATCGCTGCCACCTGCACTGTGGCTCCGACCTCCCTTGCCTGGACTCCCTGCTGTCTCCCGCTCTGCCCCTGGGCTAACAGACCAGTCTGATCCTTCTGCAGAGGTCTGCAGATGTGAGCATTTCTCCCAGCCTGTGCTCCATGGCCCAGGCTCCCACCCCTCTCCCCACCACATTTCCTCTCTTTTATTATTATGAAATTATAAAATGAAAATTTAAACATGTCCAGATGTAGAGATTGGAGCCAACGAGTTTCACAGGCCCACCACCAGGTTCTGCCACTGACTCAAATGTGCCCATTTGCTTCCTCTGTCCTTTCTCTCTTTTTCTTTGCCAGGACATTTTAAAGTAAAATCCAGACATGTCATTTCATCCACTTCAGCGTGCACTTCTCAACAATAGGGGTGTTTCCACACAAACCCAAGCACCATCACCACACCCGACAAAGTGAACCAGCCCAACCCATGGTCAGACTGGCCCAGTAATCCCAGAAACATTTTCCGTAGAAGATTCTTTCTAATCAGAATTCAAAGAAGACCTGAGCTCCTTCAGTCTCTGTGAATCTAGCAGCCCCCTCCCTGGCCCATCCCATCACTCTCTGGCCTTTGACTTGTTGAGCAGTGGTGTCGCCTCTCCTGCAGCAAGCCCCAGTGTCCCCATTCTGCATTTGTGTGTCTGCTTCCTGATGCTGGCACTGGGACTGCTTCTCTGTGCCCATCCTTCCTGCCCTTGGACATTAGCCCCAGGTGCTTGACTAGATCCCGGCTCCCCTTGGTCATGAGGCTCTTCTCATGGGCAGAGGCAGCACCCGCATCTGCTGTGGGTGCAGAGGCATGGGAGGGAGAAAGTCCTGGGGGCGAGCACCTGACCCTCCGCACAAACTATCAAGGCAGCCATTCACCCAATCACCCATCTATCCCTTTCCTTTTTTGAGACAGGGTCTCACACTGTCACCCAGGCTGAGGTGCAGGTGCAGTCGTTCGATCACAGCTCACTGCAGCCTCAACCTCCTGGGTTTAAGCGATCCTCCTGCTTCAGCCTGCCGGGTAGCTGGGACAACAGGTGCGCACCAACACACCTGGCTCATTTTTGTATTTTTTGTAGAGACAGGGTTGCACCATATTGCTTTGGCTGGCCTTGAACTCCTGGGCTCAATCAGTGCTTCAGCCTCGGCCTCCCAAAGTGCTGGGATTACAGGCGTGAGCCACTGCACCTGGCCCAGTTTATGAGTTTTGACAAATGTGTACAATGTGTTTCCTCCACCCTATGAAGATCTAGACCATTTCCATCTCCCCAGAAATTATCCGTCCCCCAGAGACAGGCACTCTTCAGCTATCCCCACCAAACCACTGGCTCTCCTCTCCAGCCTCCTGTAAATGGAATCGCACACTGTCTATCCTTTCAGTTTTCGCTCATATCCCGTCTGGGAGAAGCATCCACATTGCTGCACCTAGCCAGAGTCCCTTCTGTGCATATGCCAACCATTTATTCTTTCCATTGCTGGTGAACATTTAGGTTGTTTCCAGTTTTTACAAATAATACTGCTATGAAGTCTTGTACATGTCACTTTGGGGACATAAGCACTTGCGTCTCCTGGGTACACACCCAAGAGTGGAATTGCTGGTCGTGTGTTTAACTTTAGTGGATAAATGAAGTTTTCCAGAGGGACTGTACCAATTCACAGTCCCACCAACAGGCATATGACTTCCAGTTGTTCTGTGTCCTCTCCAACTTGGTACACCATCGATCCTTTTAATATGACTTTGTCCTCTGGGTATATGTTAGTATCTCATATTTCCTGGTAACCCAGGAGAGCAATTGCCTTTTCATATAGTTCTGGGCCATTTGATGATTCTGTGTTGGGACGTACCTGTTTCCATCTTCTGCCCACTTGTTTGTTGCATTGCCTGTTTATTTTAACGATTTCTTGGAGCTCTTTACTGGATAGAAGTCATTTGCTAGTTCTGAGTATGACGGATATCTTCTCCCACTCCTGGGACTGCCTTTCACTCTCTGAGTGGTGCTAAAAGGCACCAATAAAAAGTTCCTGGCTGGGCACAGTGGCTCACCCCTGTAATCCCAGCACTTTGGGAGGCCGAGGCGGGTGGATTACCTGAGGTCAGGAGTTCGAGACCAGCCTGAACAATATGATGAAACCTCGTCTCTACTAAAAGTATAAAAATTAGCTGGGCATGGTGTTGGGAGCCTGTAGTCCCAGCTACTCGGGAGGCTGAGACAGGAGAATTGCTTGAACCCAGGAGACGGAGGTTGCAGTGAGCCAAGATCTTGCTACTGCACTCCAGTCTGGGCAAAAGAGCGAGACTCCGTCTCAAAAAAAAAAGTTCCTAAGTTTAGTGTAGCTCAGTTTCATGCAGCTCAATCGTTTCTTCATTATGGCTTTTAGTGTCTTATTTTAAAACTCTTTAGTGACCCCCAAGGTCATGATATCCTCTGATTGTGTCTTCTACAACTTTTTGTTTTACTTTCACAATAAGACCTACAAACCACATCTTAATTGACCTAATCGTAACCATTTCATTTATAGATTCCTTTGGGTTTTCTACTATACAATCATGTCACCTTGAATGGCATTATTTTCTCTTCCTTTGTGATCCTTATACCTTTTCTGCCTTTCTTTTTTTTTTCTTTTGAAACAGGGTCTCACTCTGTCACTCAGGCTGGAGTGCAGTGGTGCCATCTCGGCTCACTGCAGCCTCGACCTCCTGGGTTCAAGTGATCCCCCCACTCAGCCTCCCAAAGTGCTGGCATTCCAGGCATGAGCTACCCTGTCCAGCCTTTTTATTTCTTTTTCTTGAATCACTCTCCCAGTGAGGACCCTCATTTTAATGCAGAATAGCAATGTAAAGAGCAGGCATCCTTGCCTTGCTCCTGGTCTGATCCTACATGGGTGGAGGGACATTCAGTATGTCATCCGCAGATTTCTTGTAGATATCTGTATTTATTTCCTATTGCTGCTGTGACAAATCACCACAAACTCAAAGGCTTTGAGCAGCACAAATAGCTCATCTTACAGTTCTGGAAGTCAGAAGTCTTATAGGACTAAACCAAAGCATTGGCAGGGCTGCCTTCCTCCTGGAGGCTGGGAGAAAAATCCATCTTCCTGCCTTTTCCAGCCTTTAGAGGTGGCTGCCCACATCACTTGGCTCAAGCCTCTCACTCTGTCTTCGAAGGTAGCAGCACAGTTTGTTGAGAGTTTTTATCATAAAGGGGTGCTGAATATTGTCGAATGCTTTTTCTGCATCTTTTGATATGATCATATGGTTTTTGTTTTAATTCTGCTTATGTGATGTATCACATGTATTGACTTGTGTATGCTGAACCATCCCTGCATCCCTGGGATGGAACCCACTTGATCACGATGAATTATCTTTCTGATGTGCTGTTGGATTCAGTTAGCTAATGTTTTGTTGAGGATTTTTGCATCTATGTTCATCAGGGAAACTGGTCTGTAGTTTTTTTTGTTGTTGTTGGTTTTTTTTTTTTTTTTTTTTTTTTTTGCTCGTGTCCTTTCCTGGTTTTGGTATCAGGGTGATACTGGCTTCATTCTATGAGGATCTCTTCTTTCTCAATATTTTGGAATAGTTTTAGTAGGATTGGTACCAATTCTTCTTTGAATGTCTGGTAGAATTCAGCTGTGAATCCATCTGCTTTTGGGCTTTTTTTTTGTTGGCAATTTTTAAATTATGGATTCAATCTCGCTACTTGTTATTGGTCTATTCAGGGTTTCTATTTCTTCCTGATTTAATCTAGGAGAGTTGTGTGTTTCCAGGAATTTACCAGTTTCCTCTGGGTTTTGTTTGTGCACATACATGTTCGTAGTAGTCTTAAATGATCTTTTGTATTTCTGTGGTGGTGGATGAATATCTCCAGTTTCATTTCTAATTGAGTTTATTTGGATCTTCTCTCTTCTTCTCTTGGTTAATCTTGTGAGTGGTCTACACAGATTTTATTTTTTCAAAGGACCAGGTTTTTGTTTCATTTATCCTTTGTATTTCTTTTGTTTCAATTTCATTTAGTTCTGCTCTGATATTTGCTATTTTTTTTCTTCTGCTGGGTTTGGATTTAGTTTGTTCTTGTTTCCCTAGTTCCTTGAGGTGTGACATGAGGTTGTCAGTTTGTGCTCTCTCAGACTTTCTGATGCAGGCATTTAACACTATGAACTTTCCTCTTGGGACCGCTTTTCTGTGTCCTGGAGGTTTTGATAACTTATCTCATTATTATCATTCAATTCAAAGAATTTTCAAATTTCCATTTTGATTTCCTTGTTAACCCAGATGTCATTCAAGAGCAGATTATTTATTTCCGTGTGTTTCTATCACATCACTCCACCTTGGCTTCTCTTCCTGCACTCCTTGTTCTGCCCCAACTCTCCTGCCTCCCAATTACAAGGTCCCCCGTGGTTACACTGGGCCCACCTGGACATGCCGGGACAGTTTCCCCACCTCAGGATCCTTAGCTCAATCACATCTGCAAAGGCCCTTTCGCCATAGAAGGTGACACTATCACAGGTTTGGGGATTAGGGCACGGGCATCTTTGGGGGCTGTTACTCAACCAAAGCATAATACCCTTTATCAGATTGGGGGGTTCCCTTCTATTCCTACTTGCTAAGAGTTTTATTCAAAAATAAGCTTTGAATTTTATCAAATAATTTTACTGCATCTCTTGAAATGATTATATCATTTCCTTCTTTATTCTGTTAATGGAAGGTATTACATTGATCGGCTTAAAAATATTCAACCAACTCTGCATTTTTGGAATGATTAGCCTCAAATGACTGCCATTTTTGGGGTGGGCTCATCTTCACCTAAACACATCAATCATCTTCACATGAATTCTGACCACTCCCAAGTCACCGGACTGCAGGTGCAGTGTCTGACTTCTTAAGCCAGTCTCCCCATAGCTACTTACAGCTATGGGACCTTGGCAGAGTATCTGACTGCTCTGAGCCTCAGTTCCTCACAGGTAAAATGGGAGTAACCATGATTCCCACCTCCTTGGGTGGTCAGGAACATTAAATCACAGAAAGTCCCCAGTCTGGCCCATGGCAAGTGCTGGATGCTTGCTAGCTATCCATTTGCTTTTGTGATGGGGACATGGGATGGGCCGCCCATGCGTGTTCATCACCAGTTTGGGAGCATAAAGAATTTTACTTCTCTGCCCCTCTGATCAAGCACCAGGTCCCATGATTCCTAATTGAGGGCAAACACCTCTGCCCTGGTTGAGTTGCTAGACAGAAGCAGAAGGGAGAGCGAGTGCAGATTGGGGAGGTGAAGCGGGTGCCTGGCAGTTCCTCCACTAGCTGCTTGTGTCCCAGTGTCTGCCACCCAGAGCCTTGGAGCCTCACACTGCCCTCCATGCCCTTGTCCCCGCAGCTGTGCCAGGCTGCACCTCCTTACCCCATCCCACCTGCCTGCCCTCTCCCAGAACTTCTGTGACACCAGAGTCACCCTCCCTGTCTTCCAGAGCTGTCCTAGAGTTTTAAATTTATTTTCTAACATTTCTGGGGGGTTGGGGTTGGGCTGGTGGGGAAGGCAGCCCATGTGCTTAGTTTACCCTCTCCACCTGACTTCTTGGCTGCTTGAGGCTCACAGGGAGGCTGCTGGCATCAGCTCCGTCTCTGAATTGCAGTCAGTGTGTAGAATTAGGAGTGGGACAAGAGTCCACCCTGCAAAGCAAAGCTTCACAAGCCCCTCTCTGGGCCTCTGGGCCCTCCCCAGGCCTGAAGCACTTTGTTCTTGGCCTTCCCTGGGAGGACTGGAGAGGCCTGAAGAGACAGATGCAAGTTCACCTGGAGGCCCACAGCAAGGGCCATGAGTTCAGTGTCAGCAGACCCTGGTCACCAGGCCCATCACTAACAAACAGCAGGCTCGGCCTCCCTTCTCCATAAGGGAGACTCCAGAGGCCTGCAGTGAGGGCTGGCTGAGGGCAGACGTGTGAGACAAGGCTGTGCTCACGAGCTCTCTTTCAGGGGCCAGGGACAGAAGCCCAACTTGAACCAGGTTAAACTACAGAGGTGCCTTGCTGGAGGTGGAAGGTCCAGGGTTGGACTTTAGGCACAGCTGGATCCAGGGGGAACCTTCCCACTCACTCATGCTTTTCCATGCTGGGCTGGGAAGGCAGTGGGGCCCCAGAGACAGAGACCACCGCCTGGAAGAGCTGGCTCCCCTTTCCAGAGAGGTGTCTCCCTTTCCAGAACATGGTCCTGACCCTTCAGCGAACCCTTTCCACTTATCTGGGGATGTGGATTTCTTCTTGCTCAGAGATCAGGAGCGGAATAAGGCTCTCTCCGTGAGTATCCAGGACAGACGCCAGCACCTCCGGGAGCTTCCCTGCTCCCACTGCTTCCTGGAGTGGCCACATTGCCCTTCTCAGAGGAGCACTTTCCTCAGGTCCTTCTCATTCCAGAATAGTCAATAGCTCACCACTTACTATAAAATCAGCTGGAAACCTTACCTGGCTCTCAGGACTCACAGCATCCCACCCATCTTCCCGTCTGTCACCACTCTTCTTGGGTCTTGGTCAGATAGACTTCTTGGGCTGCTGTGGCAACAGCCTCAGCCACCTCGCCGCCACTTCCACTGCTGCCTGCGTGAAATGCCATCCTCTCCTGACACTCTCCGGGTCCTCCAAGGCCCAGCTCAGCCCTCACAGGCCCTCTCCCATCCCACAGGCACCCCCTGCTGCTCAGGCCTTGTGCCGTCCCTATGGCTGGACCCCTGCAGGTCAGACCCACACACAGCCGCCCACGGCACGCACACACGTGCTCCTCCGGGTGCCTAGGATCCCTGGGCCAGCACCGACCCCACTCTTGCCCCATCTTCACCCCAGCCTGTCCTCTTGCTTTCCCAGCCCTGAGAGCTGTGAGCCCTGAGTGGGGACAGCCCACTCTTGCTGCCTTGGGCACCCAGCCCTGCCCCACGTGCCAGGCATGGCAGCCTTCCCAGGGTCGCACCTGGGCTGCCCCACAGACTCCATCACCTCGCCCTGACTCAGGGCTCAGCGTCTCTGAGATTCCTCACAGCTGTGGTTCCCAAGGCAGCAACAGCTACACTGGCATCTGTAGGGCATGGGTGGAGATGCACAGGCTTCAGCCCTGCCCAGGCCTCCACATCAGAGACCAGGGCTGGGCCTGTGGGCTGTGATTCCTAGACTGGCTGAGACCCAGAGACTCTCTGACCCACGCCTTGGCCACCCTACTGTATCTTCTCCAATGAGGCGTTCGGTTTTCCTCTACACTCAAGCCCAGCCTAGCTCGAGGCCTCCCCCACCTTCCACTAAGAGTCTCACCCAACACACTCTCTCCACCACACCCAACAGGGTCACCAAACGCCATCTTCACCCACCCAACAGGGTCACCGAACCCCAACCTCACCCACCCAACAGGATCACCAAACCATACCCTCCCCCACCCAACAGGGTCCCCCACTCAAACCCTCCCCCACCCAGCAGGGTCTCCCACTCACAACCTCCCCTACCCGGCAGGCTCTCCCACTTATACCCTCCCCCACCCAGCATCCACCACTCACAACCTCCCCCTCCCGACAGGGTCCCCCTCAGTCTGGCCCTGCCCTCAGTCAGCTGCCCAATGTCTTCTAAAGGCCACCTTGTACCCTGAGGATACAGTAGGTGACATTTTCCTGACTGCAGTGATGGGGACGTGCATTCCAGGGGCCTCAGGCTGGACCCATTTGCCTGGGTTCTTAGATGCCGTTTGTGTACCTGGTAGGTCCCAGCAGGAAACGGAAGTGACCCCAGAAAGTCTACGTGAAGAGACTCCCGGGGCCGGTGCAGAAAAGTGGGAGGGGGTGTGGAGCTGGCAGGGGATGTCCCCACTGTGAGAACAGGACAGCAAGAGGGACACGGGGCGGGGTCGGGGTGTGGGGAGGTGAGTCCTGCCTTCCTGCTCCTCCGAAAGTTTTCTCCCAAGGGAGGGCTGGCTCGAAGCCACCCCCAGGCCGCACAGGAGCTGGAGTGGGGTGGAGAGCAGGTGGAGATGGCCACCAACGGTGACCTTCCAGCTAGGCTACACCCACTACACAGTCGTAGTCTTCGGGAACCCCAGAGCCTCTAGGTTCCCTGCCCCTGGGTTGGTCATCAAAATATACGGCTCTCACTTAAATGTGGATTTCGGAGAAAATGAGACATCATCTTTTCGGGTAAGCGTGCCCCCTCTGTGGGTCTGGAGTGCTCATCTGACCGGGCAGCCTGTGTTTGACCTAGGGACCCTGACTGGCGCCCTTCTCGGGGGCAAATGGCCTCCCCAACAGCTGCCCTGCCTGCTTGGCTCTCAGCCCGGGACAGCAGTGTTCAGGTCCCCGCGTCCTCGCGCGCAAACCCGCGTCCCTAGGAATGGGGAACCGCGCGGGGAGGCCTGGACGCGGGTGGGGAGCCTGGGCCCCGCCCGACTTGGCCCGACGCCCCCAGGAACGGCAGCAGCAGAAGACGATGCGGGTGCACCAGAAGATGACCTACTCCTCGAAAGTGTCGGCTAAGCACACCAGCCTGCGGCGGCAGCTGCAGCTGGAGGACAAGCAGGAGGACCTGGAGGCGCGCGCCGAGGCCGAGCATCAGCGCGCCTTCCGCGACTACACGACCTGGAAGCTCACCTTGACCAAAGGTGCGTCCCCTCCGGCGCGGGGGGACCTGGGCCAGTGGCGTCCCACAACCGCAGCTCAGGGGGCGCGCCTGGAACCTCCGTGCCACTCATCTTGCACAGATGGGAAGTGCTTTTCAAGTGCTTCGGAAAGGCCTGCCCTTTCTGTGTTTGGCCTCTCCAGGGGGGTCCCAAAGCTCTATTCCAGGATTGCAAACCTAAGAGCTTTTCAATCCTAATAGAATAGTTCCCCACCTTATCCTTGGTTTCTCTTTCCTTGGCTTCAGTTGCCGGAGCTGAAAGTAGGTGAGTACAATACAGCAAGATATTTTGAGAAAGAGACCCTTTGCCTAACTTTTATTACAGTATATTGTTATAATTGTTCTATTTTTATTAGTCGTTATTGTTTATCTTTTACTGTGCCTAATTCATAAATAAAACAACTTCATCATAGGTAGCTATGTGTGGGAAAAAACTTAGTGTCTATAGGGTAGGGTTCAGGCATCCCCTGGGGGTCTTTGAACACAGGCTCCTGGATAAGGGAGGCTGCTGTATTGCGTGATTCGGAAGGTGGGCAGTGTACAGTGGGCGCAGGCTGCACAGCGTAGAAGTGGGCGGTTCCTAAGAAAGAGCATGGAGCTGGACCTAGGTTTCCTGGCTTCCGTGGCAGCAGCTGCAGCATTTCACAGCTTTGTGGTCATACCCAGGTCACCTGAGCCCTTTGCAGCTCAGTTTCCTTTCCTGGCTGATAACAGTACCAGCCTCATGGATTGTGGGGATTGAATGTGCTAATACATTGGCTGTAGTAAGAACCATGTATGTGTGTGAGCGGTGGAAATCTTAAGTACTGAATATGTATTAATATTCTACCAACCCAGATGATGAAGTATATTACAAAGTTAGAAGCAGTCAGTCAGATCAGAGTCCTGGCGCACAGGGGATTAGAGGTGTACCATGTGACTCTGAAACACACAAGGGCCTCCAGCCTCCACCTGGGGAGTGGCGCCCTGAGCTTGTGGGGGCGTTTAGGCCCCACAGTTGGAGAGGCAGGCAGGGGGAATGGGGGTTAGACGGGGAGACAGCATGGCCTGTTCTTTTTCCTGCCTCCACCCTTATTCCCAAGACCTGGAGGAGAGGCAAGTGACTGGGGAGGCGGGACTATGACTCCCAGAGAGGAGCTGGGTCTCCTGCAGGGGTAGGGACATCTCCGTGGCTACCCAGGGAGGCCCAGCCAGGGCCTCTGCCGGGATCTGGACTCTGGGAACAGAGCTCTTGCACCAGCCAAAGCAGGGCTCTGCTCCTGGAGAGGAAAGGGTGTGAGGGACAGGGCCAGAGAGCCCCATGGTTTCCAGGTCCTTTCCACAGCTCCCAAATCAGAGACAGCCTACAACTTCCACGCCAGGAAGGCCAGGGAAAGGGGCCCCTATGGCCCTTGGCCCCAGACTCGCTGTCCTTCTGCGTGCTCTCCTGAAGGTTGTCCAGACGTCCACCTCGACTTCCTCCTGTCTGGTTTAAACCCTGGCAGTGTAGACTCAGCCTCTGCCCAGTTTGCTCGGGGGGCTTAGGTGCCCCAAGTAGCAATTATGGCTCCCCATTTTTCTGTCCTCATCCCCATTCAGGTCCTGGCTAGAAGGCCTGTGGCTATTAAGTCCAGCTGGGTGAAATTTCCCAGGTGGGGTGTCCAGAGCCTTACTGCAAGTGAGTGCTACAGCAAGAAAGGCGCAAGTCAGACACAGTAAGGACTTCCCACGCGGCCGGACTCTGGCCATGGAGAATGTAACATTTCAGGCAGAGCCTTCTCTCTTTTTGTGGAGACAGAGGACAAGAACACTACCTTCCATGGTCCCGGTAGTCACCTGGGCGTGGACGCAAAGCAGTGGCCAGCAGCCGGTGGAAGGCTCCTCTGCAGACCTGCCAGGCCCCTCCTCAGCCTGGGCTTCCCGCTCCTGCTCACCTCCCTCTTCTTCCAGCAGAAAAGAATGTGGAGCCTGAGAACATGAGTGGCTACATTAAGCAGAAGCGGCAAATGTTCCTCCTCCAGGTAGGTCCCGTGGCCCCCAGAGCGATGGATGCCAGCAGTGGCTGGCCCGGGCCAGGCACCATGACCCCACTCTGCTGGCCCCCAGTATGCCCTGGATGTCAAGCGGAGAGAGATCCAGCGGCTGGAGACGCTGGCGACCAAAGAGGAGGCCAGGCTGGAGCGGGCCGAGAAATCCCTGGAGAAGGACGCCGCCTTGTTCGACGAGTTCGTCAGGGAGAATGACTGCAGCTCCGTGCAGGCCATGAGAGCGTGAGCCTGCGGGCCCGAGGGGCTGGCTGGGCAATGCCGAACCCCCACTGTCCCTGAGCCTGTGCACACCCACTTATCCAGCCTCTGCCCCCAGCCCCTGCAACTCCTCTGGAAGCACCAGGGCCGGTCGGGAGCCAAGGGCAGGGGACACTACGGGCAAAAGGCTTAACTGTGTGGCTCTCCAGCCCTGTCCGGAGCCGGGCCCAGCCCTGGGGCCTGTGGGTGGTGTGCTCACCCCTCTTTAATAGGCTGCCACTGGCCCCTTGCCCCCATCCCTCCTCCCCCGCCGCCCAACCCCTAGGGCTGAGAAGGAGACCAAAGCCAAGATAGAGAAGATCCTTGAGATCCGGGACCTCACCACCCAGATTGTTAATATCAAAAGGTGAGGTCAGAGGGCATGCTGGCCATTGGCTGGCCCACCTCCTGGTCCCTCAGTCATTTTGCCTGGCCAAGGGAAGCCTAGCACCATGTGAACCTCATGGCTTTACCTCCCAGGGACTCTGCTTCCATGAGGCTGTTGCCCATTTATAGACGAGGGGAGTGAGACCAAGAGAGATTCAGTGACTCTCAAGGCTTCCACTTGGAGGTTGGCAGCTTGGCTCAAAGGCTTGCCCAGCTACAGCCTGAGAGAGGTGCGGTCTCCAGGGTGGAGAGGAACTTGCAAGTCACAAAGGGCTGTGACTCTGCTTGTTGCAGGGTGGGTGCCTGTCTTCCAGCATGTGGCATTCCTGCACCTTTTCTCAAGGAAAACAAGGAGCCCACACAGACTTGGCCAGGATGGAGGGGTGGCCCCGGCATGGGGACCTCGCTGTGGCAGAGGCTGACCTCCTCCTTCCCACATCCTCACCCCGCCCCGGTGTAGTGAGATCTCCAGATTTGAAGACACTCTGAAGCATTACAAGGTCTATAAGGATTTCCTATACAAGCTGTCGCCCAAGGAGTGGCTTGAAGAACAGGAAAAGAAACACTCGTTTCTCAAAAAGGCCAAGGAGGTCTCCGAGGCTTCCAAAGAGAGCAGTGTTAACTCCACACCAGGGGACAAAGGTAGCAGAAAAGAGAATGTGGGTTCCCAGGTGGGCTCTGCCAGTGGCCCACTGCGACCCTGAGCCCAGCTGGCAGGTTACCTGCAGGCATCTGGGCCACATGGCGTTGCTGAAGCTTGGCTGCAGCTGAGGCCATCGGGGCCCCCCCTTTGCTTCCTGCAGGACCAGGGATCAAGGGCAAGGCGAGCTCCATGTGGGCCAAAGGTGAGCTGCCGCCCCCAGCCTGAGGAGGAGCCTGGCTCTGCCCTGCACAGGGCTCGGAAACTATTCCTCTGCTTTCTCCAGAGGGTCAGGGTACAAAGAAGCCCTGGAGGTTTCTGCAGACGATGCGGCTGGGGCGGAGCCCGTCTTACCTGAGCAGCCCCCAGCAAGGCAGCCAGCCCAGCGAGTCCAGCGGTGGCGACTCCAGAGGGTGAGTGGGCTCGGGTGGTTGGGAGGGGCTGAGGCCTAGCGGCGAGCCCTCCCTTGTGGCACCCATGTGTAGTCAGGTCTGAGTGCCACAGAAAAGAAAGTGTGTTACTCACAGTCCCTACTCCAAGAAGGGCCAGACAGGGACGTCCCAGGCCGGCCAGGAGGCAGAGGGAGTAGGACCTGTGGGCAGGAGTTTCCATTGTGGTTCCCATGGGAATTAAGGTTGAGGCGGGTGAGCAGGTGTAAGGCTGATTTGTTTTTGAATAATTTCGGGCTCTTGGACAAAGGCCTGCCCCTGGTTGTCTGGTCCTGGCCCTGGGGGGATAGGTACTGAGTGTGAAAGTCTGATAGATGATCTGGCTGGGGTGTGGACAGTGGATTGGGTGGTTTGCATTTGAAAGGTGAGCTGAGGGCAAGCTCAGAGCCCAGGGTGAGTCATTTCCTGTCTCCATGGATTGATGGACCCTGAGAGAGGTGGTCCCTCCAGGCTCGGCAAGGCCACAGGTGTCAAAAGCATCAAAGCACAGAACATCAGTCACGGTCACTACGTGGGTGAGGTGGTCTCATATGGTTATCAGGACATTTTCCTGATGACAAATCTGAATACATTTCATACATATCATTTTTTTGTGAAGTGTCTGATTTCTGTACATTTTTGTTGGATTATTGGCCTGGTTCTTATGGTTACCTATTGGTTCTCTATGTATTCTGGGGACCAGCCCGGTGTGGTGTGGTACACGTATCTTCTTCCAGTTTGCATCTTGCCTTATTTCTATTTATTTATTTATTTTGAGATGGAGTTTTGCTCTTCTTGCTCAGGCTGGAGTGCAGTGGTGTGATCTCAGCTCACCGCAACCTCCGCCTCCCAGGTTCAAGCGATTCTCTTGTCTCAGCCTCCCGAGTAGCTGGGATTACAGGCATGTGCCACCACACCCGGCTAATTTTTTGTATTTTTAGTAGAGACGGGGTTTTGCCATGTTGGGCAGGCTGGTCTCAAACTCCTGACCTCAGGTGATCCGCCCGCCTCAGCCTCCCAAAGTGCTGGGATTACAGGCATGAGCCACTACACCTGGCCACCTTATTTCTGTTCACTATTGTCTTTTGAAGAACAGGAATTCTTAATTTTAGTGAAGCCAAATTTACCAATCTTTAATTTTATAATTGGTGAATTTGGGGCCCTGCTTAAGAAATATTTGCCAACATCACAGTCACTAAAATATTCTCCTGTGTTTTCTTCTGGAAGCTGATGCTTTTTATCGGCTTGGATAAGGGTGGCAGAAGCAGGGATGGAGAGAAGTGGGCACTGTAGGGCTCAGGGCTGCTCCCTACATCCCTGCCCGGGCCCTGTGTCTGTGGCAACCCACTCTCCTCCACGGGGCCTTTATCTGCTGCTCAGCCCTTCTGCTCTCCACCCTCTGTCTTCCCCTCTCCACGACTGCCTATTCCTGAACTCCACACCCAGATGGGTAGCCCCAACATCAGCCTCCCATGGCCCAAACTGATGCTTCTCCAGTTGGAAGAGGACCCAAGCTGGCTTTCCTTTCTGCCCAGTGTGGCCACGCCTTGTGGTGAAGACCAGCCACCACTGGGGCATGCTGCTGCGCCACGCACAGGCTGCTGTTAACGTTGCCCACCATGACGCCCTGCTGGTGGGGGGACATTTCCAGTTCTGCGTTGAGGAGCAGAGGTTCTAATGTATGCAGTGCAGCCTGCTCCGCCTAGGGCTCCCTCAGCCATGGACTGCCCCCTACCAGACAGGCCCTCACTTGGGAGACTTGAGAACAGAGTCGGGGATCACACTGTCCTGGGTTTCAATCCTGGCCCCTCCATCTATTTGCCAGGTGACCAGGGCCACTGAGTATAGCTGGGCAGGTTGTGAGCTATATAAGGCACTCACTCAGCCAAGAGGGAACATGGGGGCTGAAGTCCAGCCCATGCCCACCAACCGCCAGGTCAGGCTCCCTGACCCAGGCTACATCCATCTGGAGGGTGGATTATCAGAAAGGCATCGTATGGGCCAGCAGCGCCCTGCAGGCAGCCGGCTCTCTCATCTGTAAAATGGGCATCGGTGTGCAGTGTGAGGCGTGGGTCTGGCGAGTGCTGTAGTTGTTATCACAGCCTCTCCTGGGAAGCCCTCCTGGATCTGCTGTCAGAGTCCCACAGGACCTTGCCCTGATGCCTCTCTGCTTCTGGGGATCAGGGGCTGGCATCTCCAAGCCCAAGCTTAGGTCCCTGAGGTGCCTGGGGCAAGCCAGCGCAGCCCCCCCCACCTCAGTCAGCAGGACCTGCAGATCCTAGGTGAGGCCCAGGGTGGAGCAGGCTGGGAGGGCAGGTTTGGAAGTCAGTGCAGGTGAGGTCCCCATCGAGTGGGGCCTTCTGGGGCCCACACTGAGTGCTTAAAGCTCACACAGCTTGTTCCCAGCCCCTCTCCACTGGTCCAGGACAGACCTTGCCCCTGGGCACTCAGGATCACCTGGAGGCAGCCCTGAGAGTCCCTCTATTGCTGTGAGTGGGACCCCCAGGACAGGGGCCAAGACTGACCCTAGATGGGGGAGGCAGGGCAGGAAAGGCCTCAAAGGTGGCACTCAGTAAACAAGGGTGAGGGAGGAGGGGCAGCCCCAGCAGCGGAGCCGCAGGTGCAGAGGCCTGGGGTAGGGCAGCACCTAGAGAGATGGGACCTGGCCAGGCAGGGCAGAGGGGCTGGGGAAGGGGAGGCAAGGTGAGTGCTGGGAGGGCTGCCTGGCATGACCCAAGAGGAGAGCAGGTTTTATTCTAAGTGCAGTGGAGCTGGGATGGGTGAGGGCCATCTGGCCACCCAGGACTGGGGCCTCTGGCGACAGGTCTGGAACATGGTTTGTCCAGCATGTCAAAGTGGCTACGGCCTTGGGAAAATGAGTGGATTGAAACTATCCCCTGGCTGCAGTGTGGCAGCTGGGGACTGTGAGGAAGCTGGTGCTGCCCTCTGGGTAACTTGTGGGCAGCTGGGAGAGGAGGGATGGGGATGCTGCCAACGCCTTCAAGACCTCTGTGCCCCCTCCCCTGGCTCCTGTCTGCTCAGGCTGGTCCCAGAGTCCCGACCCTGCCATCTCTTCGCAGGTCGAACTCTCCCATCCCCCCCACGCAGGAGGACACCGACAGCGATGGGGAGGTGAATGGCCCAGTGCTGGGCTGGAATTCGGAAGTCGCCCCTCTCTTTCCCTGCCCCCACCCCTGCCCCTCTGGCTCTGTCCCTGTCCAGTCCCTGCCAAAACCTGTGGGTTGCAGGAACCACAGCTGTACTTCACGGAGCCCCAGCAGCTCCTGGATGTCTTCCGAGAGCTGGAGGAGCAGAACCTGTCGCTGATCCAGAACAGCCAGGAGACGGAGAAGACCCTGGAGGAGCTGAGCCACACCCTGAAACACACCCAGATCCGCATGTAGGTGCTATGCGGTGGCCAGTGGGGGCTCCCTGCCGCTCTCATCCTGGGATCCCCCTAGCACTGGGAGCCAAGTTGGGGAAACAGCCCACACCCGTCCGTGGCCCTGGCCTGGTCCAGGTTGTCTGAAAAGCTCCGAGCGAAGCTCCGTTTGTGGGCCGGATCCTGGAGAGAGGGTGGTGGAGCTGGGGGTGGGCAGGGCCCAGGCACCCGTGCCCACCCTGAAGCAGCCCATGGCTAGAGCCAGGCCTCTCCAAGGACCTTCTGCCCTAGGCGCCTTCTGCTGCTGCCAAGCTCCTGGGAGGCCCTTGGAGTGGCTGGAGGTCCACAGCGACCCTGACCCCCCAGTTCATAGCAGCACTAACATGCTTCACACAGGCACCGAAAGCAGTCATTTGCTCAGAAGGGCCTGGAAGCTGCTGCTGCTTCATATTTCGTAGACCACTGAGCGGGTGTTCGCGGCACAGAACTGGGGAAGGCCAAGCCACCTGTGGGCTGCTGTGAAGTGTGTCCCCTGCTGTTGTTCAGCAGCATAACGGGGACGGGAGTGGGTGCAGCCCTGAGCACGAGGACATGGGCATGGCGAGTTGTGCCATCCTGCAGGCTGGGGCTAGGTGGGGCTGAGACGGGCAGGGATGGGTGAGGGCCATCTGGCCACCCAGGACTGGGGCCTCTGGGGACAGGCCTAAAACACAGCTTGTCCAGCATGGCAAAGTGGCTAGGGCCTTGGGAAAATCCTGCCCTCCCAGTTCCAGCCAGAGAGGCAGCAGGAGAAGTCAGGTGGCTGCCCAGCTCTCACCTGGAGCCCAATTGAGGCTATTATGGTCCCTCCTGCTGGGTGTGGCCACTCAGTCCCCTGCAGGGTACCTGCCTCCAGGAGAACTGGGCAGGGCAGGGTCAGCCTGAGGCACTGGTGAGGCATGTCCAGAGCAGGGAATCCTCTGCTCACTCCCCACACACTGCCTGTGCATCCGTTCTGGGTCAGGCCTGGGTCTAAGCTCTGCAAGGATAAAGCAAGGCCCTGCCCTCATGCAGCTGACCTTAATGGCAGCAGATACAACAAACAGATCCACAGATGTGACTTGTGCATACTGATGTGTTCTAGGAGGAAAATAAAGCAATTTGAGAAAGAGGGCTAAAATGGAGGGTGACAGCAGATGGGAGGGGTAGAGAAGGCTTCCAGGAGGTGTCAGGAAACTTCCTGAGGAGTGGGAGGAAAGCCATCCACACAGGCTGGGCGAAGAGGGTCCCAGGCAGCGGGAACAGCAGGTGCAAAGGCACTGAGGTGGGAGCCCACTGAGGCTTAAGTGTCCCATGGGGGAACCATGCTCCTGAGCACCCATGTCCCGTTGGTGCAGTATGGCAAAGAGTCCCCATAATGACCTGAAATCCCCAGCCTCAGGCAAGACTATGTGCCCTGGAAAGCTGGGAGGTGACAGACACAGAGGAAGATGAGCTGGGGAGAGGTGGACAGGCTCCAGCTTTCCAGATAATTGGGCAAGAAGACAGGTTCCTCCTCCAACACATGCATGCAAACGTAAACCTCATAGCAGAATGCTGGATGTGACATCCCAAAGCTGGTCTTCAGCCAGCCAAGCCATCCCTGAGAGCACCCATACTTTGTTTCCAGGGGAGTCACAGCCCATGTGTATTTAACTTCCATGAACTCAGCCATCTTTTCTCAGAAAAAAAATCAAAATATAGTCTTAAAAATATATAAAACAAATAGACAATCATAATAGGCCTATTCCATTAAACAAATTAAATAAATAATAGCCTTCCAAAAGGGAAAGCCCCAGGCTCAGATGGGTTTGCTGGTGAATTCTACAAAGGAAGAATTTCATCTAAGGAAGAAATTATACCAATTCTCTACAATCACTTTTCAGAAGATAGGAGCAGAGGGAGTACTTCCTAACCCATTCTATGAAGCCAGTATGACCCTAATACCAAAACTAGACAAAGGCATTACAAGAAAGGAAAAGTAGACACCAATATCCTCAACATAGATGCAAAAATCCTCAACAAAATATTAGCAAATTGAATCCAACAGTATAGGAAAAGAAGTATATACCACAACCAAATGGGATTTATCCTAGGTATGCAGGGCTGGTTCAACATTCAAAACTTAACATAATCTGTCATATCCACATGTTAAATAAGAAAAGTCACATGATATGATCATAAGAAATAGCACTGAACACAATCCAACATCCACTCATAATAAAAGCTTTCAGAAAATGTGGAATAGAAGGGAATTTCCTCAATTTTGATAAAGAACACAAAAATCCTACAGCTAACATCTTACCTAATGAAACAAAAAAAACAACAACTAGAAGCTTTCTCATGAGATCAGAAATAAGGCAAAGAGGTCTTCTCTCACTACTACTTTTCAATATTGTATTGGAAGTCTTAGCTAATGTAATAAGACAAGAAAAATAAAATGTATATAGATTGGAAGAAATAAAACTGTCCTTGTTCACAGATGACATGAATGTCTATGTAGAAAATTCAAAACAATCAACAAAAAGCTCCTGATGGCCAAGTGCAGTGGCTCATGCCTGTAATTTCAGCACTTTGGCAGGCCAAGGCAGGAAGATCACTTGAGGCCAAGAGATCGAGACCAGCCTGGGCAACATAGTGAGACCATATTGCTAGAAAAAATAAAAAACTTAGCTAGGCATGGTGGCACACATCTGAAGTCCTAGCTACTTGGCAGGCTGAGGTGCAAGGATCACTTGAGCCCAGGAGTGCAGTGAGCCATGATCATGCCACTATACTCCACCCTGGGTGACACAGTGAGACCCTGTCTTAAAAAAAAAAAAAAAGGCTGGGTGCAATGGCTCATGCCTGTAATCCCAGCACTTTGGGAGGCTGAGGCAGGCAGACCATGAGGTCAGGAGATCAAGACCATCTTGGCCAACATGGTAAAACCCCGTCTCTACTAAAATACAAAAAATTAGCTGGGCGTGGTGGTGCGTGCCTGTAATCCCAGCTACTTGGGAGGCTGAGGCAGGGGAATCACTTGAACTTGGGAGGCGGAGGTTGCAGTGAGCTGAGATCGCACCACTGCACTCCAGCCTGGTGACAGAGGAAGACTCCGTCTCAATAAATAAATAAATAATAAAAATTAAAAAGCTCTTGGAACTAATAAGCTGTTATAGCAAGAAGCAAGGTTGCAGGATACAAGATTAACATACAAAAGTCAATGGCTTTCTCATATACCAGTAATGTGCAAGTGGACTTCAAAATTAAACACACAATACCATTTACATTAGCACCCTCTGAAATGAAGTACTTAGGTATAAATCTAACAAAACATGCAAGATCTATATGAGGAAAGCTGTAAAACTCTGATGAAATCAAAGGAAAATAAATAGAGAGATATTCCATGTTCAGGGATAGGAAGGCTCAGTATTGTCAAGATGTCATTCTTCCCACTTGATCTATAACTTCAATGCAATCCCAATGAAAATCCAAGAAGTTACTTTGTAGTTACTGACAAACTGATTCTGGAGTTTATATGAAGAGTCAAAATACCCAGAATAGCCAACACAGCACTGAAGATGAACAAGAAAACTGGGTGACTGACACTAGCCAACCTCAAGACTTAATAAAACTACAGTAATGAAGATGGTGTTTGGTACCGGTGAAAGAATAGTGAAATAGATAATTGGAATAGAATAGAGAGCCTAGCAATTGACCCACATAAGTACCGTACACTCTGAGGTAATAAATGCATGTTATGTGTAACCTGTTGTGGAGCAATGGATAACCAAAGTAGCTGGTTCTAGAACTTCAAGATAATAATAATATAGTAGGTTTTCACTGGTGTCTGGTCTCTTTCCCTCAGTGCCGTGTCTGTATGGCTCATCCATGTGCAGATTTTTTTGTGTGTGGACGTAGGTTTTCAACTCATTTGGGTAAATACTAGAAAGCACAATTTCTAGATCATATAGTACAAGTATGTTTAGTTTTGTAAGAAATTGACAAACTGTCTTCCAAGGTGTCTGTACCACTTTCCATTCCCACTAGCAATGAATGAGACTTCCTCTTGCTCCAAATCCTTGCCAGCATTAGGTGTTGTTAGTGTTTTGGATCTGGCCATTCCAATAGATGTGTAGTGGTATTTTGTTTTAATTTGTGACTCCTGGGCATATGATGATGTACAGGAAGCATGATGCTGGCAGCTGCTCAGGTTCTGGAGAGGCCTCAGGGAACTTACAGTCATAGCAGAAGGTGAAGGCACATCTTACATGGCTGGAGCAGCAGCAAGAGAATGGGAGTGGGGAGGTGCCACACACTTTTAAACAACCAGATCTCATGAGAAGTCACTCCTATCAGGAGAACAGTACCAAAGGGATGGTGCTACACCATTCATGAGAAACTGCCCCCATGATCCAATCACCTCCTACCAGGCCCCACCTCCAACACTGGGGATTACAATTGAACATGAGATTTGGGCAGGGACACAGATCCAAACAATATTAATCATTAAACTGTGGTACCTCCAGAAAATGGAATATTTTTCAGTGCTAAAAGGAAATGAGCTATCAGGTCATGACAAGACATGGAAGAACCTTAAATGCATATTACTAAGTGAAAGAACTCAGCCTGGAAAGGCTATACCCTGTATGATTCCAACTCTATGATATTCTGGAGAAGGCATAACTGTAGGGAAACTAAAAGAATCAGTGGTTACCAGGGACTTAGAGGGAGAGAGGGATAAAGAGAGAGAAAGCACACAGCATTTGCAGGGCAATGAAAATACTGTGTATGATGCTATAATGATGGATACATATCATTATATAATACATTTGTCCAAACCCATAGAATACACAGTACCAAGAGGGAACCTGCATGTAAAGTCTGGACTGTGGGTGATAATGTGTCCAGGAAGGTTCACTGATTGTATCAAATGTGCTACTCTGGAGGGGGATGTTGATAGTGGGAGAGGCTGTGCATGTGTTAGGGTGAGGTGTGTTTGATCGTTTTAATGCACTGTTGAATTCTGTTTGATAGTTTTGGGATGATTTTTGCATCTACGTTCATAGGGGATATTGGCCTAAGTTTTCTTTTCTGGTGGTGTCTGTCTTTGCTATCGAGGTGATACTGGCTTCATAGAATGAGCTTGGAAATGTTCCCTCCTCTTCCGTTTCTGGAAGAGTTTAAAAAGGATTGCTGGCTGGGTGTGGTGGCTCACGCCTGTAATCCCAGCACTTTGGGAGGCCGAGGTAGGTGGATCATCTGAGGTCAGGAGTTCGAGACCAGCCTGGCCAACATAGTGAAACCCTGTCTTTACTAAAAACACAAAAAAATGAGCCAGGTGTGGTTGTGCATGCCTGTAGTTCCAGCTACTTGGGAGGCTGAAGCAGGAGAATTGCTTGAATCCAGGAGGTGGAGGCTGCAGTGAGCCAAGATTGTGCCACAGCACTCCAGCCTGGGTGATAGAGTGCGTCTCCATCCAAAAAAAAAAAAAAAAAAAAAAAAAAAGAAAGGATTACTGTTAATTCTTTAAATGTTTGGTAGAAGTCACCCATGACACCATGAGGTCCTGTGCTTTTATTTGTTAGGAGCGTTTTGATTACTATGTCAATCTCCCTATTTGTTATTGATCTGTTAAGACTATTTCTTCTTGATTCAGTCTTGGTAGGTTGTATGTTTCTAGGAAGTTATCCATTGTTTTTTCTGGATTGTCTAATAGCTCCTTATGTTTCTTTTTCTGTTTGTGCATCAATTGTAATGTCTCTTTAATTTCTGATTTTATGTTAATCTTCTTTTCTCTGCCTCTTGTGACAGTTTTTGACTTAAAGTCTATTTTGTCTATATTACTGCTGCCATTTTGTTCATTTTTTCTGTCTGTTTCACAGCTCTCTTGTTCTTCCTCTTCTGCTTTCTTTTGGGTTTGATGTTTTTGTTTTTGTTTTTCAGTGATCTGCTTTGATTCTTTTCTCTTTATCTTCTTTTGTATCTACTGTAGGTTTTTTTTTTTGTACTTACCATGAAACTTACATTGAGCATCTTATAATAGTCTATTTCAAGCTGATAACAAATTTACTTCAATTGCATACAGAAACCTCTGAATGTAACCATTTTTTGTGATGTTACATTTACCAGTGAGATTTATACTTTTGTATGCTTTCGTGTTGGTATTTAGTAACTTTTTGTTTCAACTTGTAGAACTCTCTTTAGCACTTCTCTAAGGCAAGTATCCTGGGTGACCACCTCCTTCAGGTTTTGTTTGGGAAAGTCTTTATCTCCTCTTCATTTTTAAAGGATAGTTTTCCTGCGTATAGTATTCTTTTTAGCCATTTTTTTCTTTCAGTACTTTAAATATATCAACCCGTTTTCTCCTGATCTGCAAGATTTCTGGTGAGAAATATACTGATCGTCTTAGAGCAGTTGTTGTACATGATAAGTCACTTTTCTCTTGCTATCAAAATCTTTTTATCTTTGACTCTAGATAATTTCATTATAATATGTCCCAAAGTAGATCTCTTAGCTTCTACTTATTTGGGAATCTTTAGACTTCATGAATCTGGATATCTATTTTCCTCTCCAGACATGGGAAAATTTCAGCCATTATTTCTTTAAGTTCTCTTGATTATTAGGTACAAATATAAAGTTGGATAGAAGAAATAAGATTTAGTGTTTGATACATTAGTGGCATGACTGTAGTCTAAAGTAATCTACTGTATACTTTAAAACAGCTAGAAGAGAATAATTTGAATGTTTCTAGTATAAAGACAAATATTTAAAGTGATGGACATCCCAATTACACTGATTTGATCTTATAAATTATATGAATATATTACCACAGGTACTCCAAAAATATGTACATTATGTATCAATAAAAATAAAAATAAAAAATACTTTGCCCTTTCTCTCTCTCCTTTTCCTTGAACTCTTATAATGCATATACTGTTTCAGTTGATGATGTCTGTAAGTCCCATAAGCTTTTTTCTCTTTTTCATTTTTTTGCCCTTTTGCTCCTCTAGCTGGCTAATTTCATGTGACCTATCTCTGAGTTCACTGATTCTTTCTTCTGCTTGATCTAGTCTGCTGTTACAGCTCTCTTGAAATTTTTGGTTCAGTCATTGCATTCTTAGCTCAATAATTTCTGGGTTTTTTTTTATGGTTTCTATTTCTTTGTTGACCTTATATTGTTTTCCTGATTTTGTTTAGTTGCCTATCTGTGTTGTCTTACAGTTCACTGGGAGTCTATAAGACAATTATTTTGAATTCTTTTTCAGGCAGATTGTAGATCTTTATTTCTTTAGGGTCAATAACTGGAGGCTTATCAGGTTCCTTTTGTGGTGTCATGTTTCCCTGATTTTTCATGATCCTTGTGGCCTTGCATTGCTATCTGCACATTTGAAGAAGGACTTGCTTCTTTCAGTCTTTAGGGACTGGCTTCAGCAAGGAAAGCCAAAGGAGAAAGCCAGAGAGCTCAGCCAGAGATTCTCCATGTGTTGGCTGGTGGGGTCTGTGGGCAGGGCCTACTGCCAGGGTCCAAGGTGGGTGGGGCCTGCTGTGGTGGGTCTACAGACAGGTGAGGTCTGCACAGGGCCTACAGACAGGTGAGGTCTGCACACTGGGTGCTATCAGCCCCTGTGCCTTTTATTTGTTCCTAGCTGCCCTCGAGGTGATCCATCCATGACAGTTACACCAGGGCTAAGGCAGAGATGAGAGAGAAATGGGCCTCTTGGGAAATACCCCAAAATGAATGGAAACCTGGGGGTTCCACCTTGCTTTCTCCTTCCCCCAACAGGAGAAACTGCAGGCCAATGAGATCTCTTTCAGCACTGCCATGGCTTGGGGGAGAGGTGACATAGGCAGAATGAAACTATTCTCTCACTCTCTATGGCTTTTCTCTGTTTTTATGCACCACTGGGTGCTATAACCTCTCCCTTGAATTCTGGAGCTCTGACAAAGACATTTTCATCCATGGATGGTTGTCAAATTAGTGTTTCTGTGGAAGGACAAGAGCTGAGGACCCCCTATTCCACCATCTTGCTGATGCTATTCCTCTGGTTGTATCGTTAAATTCTTCTATCTATAAAATCTTCTATCAATAAAATCAATCTATAGGTTTCCTTTGTTTTCCCCCTTGCCATCCATTTGTTGAAGAAACCAGATCACTTTCCCTATACTGAAGTGCTTCTCAGACTTTATGTGCACTTGAATCCCCCAGGGATCTTAAAATGAAGTTTCTGATTCAATAGGCATGGGTCAAGGCCTAAGACTCTGCATTTCTGACACACTTGCAGGTGATGCCCAGGATGTCTGAGGACCAACTCTGAGCAGCATGTCCCTTGTGCATCTGTTTCTTATTTCACTTGAAAGGTGAATGTTGAGGCCGGGCGCAGTGGCTCACACCTGTAATCCCAGCATTTTGGGAGGCTGAGGCAGGAGGATCACAAGGTCAGGAGATCGAGACCATCCTGGCTAACACAGTGAAACCCCGTCTCTACTGAAAATACAAAAATTAGCCGGGCGTGGTGGCGGGTGCCTGTAGTTCCAGCTACTCAGGAGGCTGAGGCAGGAGAATGGTGTGAACCCGGGAGGCGGAGCTTGCAGTGAGCCGAGATTGTGACACTGCACTCCACCCAGCCTGGGCGACTGAGCAAGACTCCGTCTCAAAAAAAAAAAAAAAAAAAAAAGGAAAAAAGAAAGGTGAATGTTGAAATTCTGCTCCTAGATATATATTCGTGAGAATTGAAAACATGTCCTCACAAAAACCTGCACATGAATGTTCATAGCAGCAATATTCCCAAGAGCCAAAAGGTGGAAACAACCCAAATGCCCATCAATGGATGAATGGATCAACAAAGTGTGGCCTACGTATGCAATGGAAGATTACTCAGCTATAAAAAGAAATGAAGTGCTGACACATGCTGCAACATGGAGGGACCTTGAAAATATGCTGGGTGAAAGCAGCGAGTCACAAAAGAAAACATGTTGTGTGACTCCATTTTTATGAAGTGTTCAGGGTAGACACAAAGTAGATTCATGGTGGCTTAAGACCAAAGGATAGAGGGGACAATGAGGAGTGACTGTTAATGGGCACAGGGTGATGAAAATGTTCTAAAATTAGATTATGGTCATGGTTGTGTAAACTCCTTGAATATATAAAAAATTACTGACTTGTATATTTTATGATGGTTATGCTAATTTTATTGTCTGTGAATTATGCCTCAATGAA